>NC_000011.10:35666060-35817575 GCF_000001405.40 Homo sapiens
TAGTATTGATTTTTGTGTAGTAGAAGTAGGGGCGCAATTTCATTTTTT
Organism: Homo sapiens; assembly: GCF_000001405.40. Classification (NCBI taxonomy): domain Eukaryota; kingdom Metazoa; phylum Chordata; class Mammalia; order Primates; family Hominidae; genus Homo; species Homo sapiens. Next base: position 35,666,109 of record NC_000011.10, read on the forward strand.
CTCCATACAGATGGCCAATTGCTATTGCTGTATTTATTGAAAAGCCCTTCCTTTGTGCACTGATTTGCTGTCCCACTGTCATATATCAAGTGCCCATAATATGTGTGAATGTGTTTCTTGGTTCTTCTGTTCTCTACTGTTTATCTGTTAGTATATCCCTGTGTGAACAGCATGTTTTCTCAGTTATCCCTTTATAATATGTCTTAATATCTGGTAAAGCAGGTCCTTCCATCTTGTCCTACAAGAGTGTGTTGGCCAGTTTTGGCACTTTACATTTCTTAGAATCATAGTATTAAAAAGCCTGCAGGAGTGTATTTGGATATTAAATTTATAAGCCAATATAGGGAGAATTAATATCATTACAACATGAAGTCTTCTGATTCATTAATTTAGGTCTTTTTTATTGCTTCGCAGTTAAGTTTTATATTTTTTTCCTCAAAGATTTTTCACATCATTGTAAAATTTATTCCTAGATACTTCATAATTTTATAATATTGTAGAAAATATGAGCCAGGCACAGTGGCTCACACCTGTCAGCTATATGGAAGGCTGAGGTGGGAGGATTGCTTCAGTCTAGGAGTTTGAGGCTGCAGTGAGTTATGATCCTGCCATTTCCCTCCAGCCTGGTCGACACGGCAAGACCCTATCTCTAAAATAAAAATAAATGGTTTTAAGTTTTGTTTTCTAATTGAATATAGGAATATGATTAACTTTTATATATTGTTTTTTTGTGATCTATCTGCTGAATTATCTTACATATCCTAATAATTTATCTGTAGATTTATTCTACATACCTGATTGTATTATGTGTGAAGAGAGATACTTTTTGTTTGTTTCTTTTCAATCCTTATATCTGTTATTTGTTTTTTCTTGCCTTACTGCATTGGATAGCACCCCGAGTATTATGTTGAATGGATGTGGTTGGTGGGTATTCTGGCCTTGTTCCTAGTCTAGCAGTAATTGATAACATTGCACAAATAAGTGATATGTTCTATGGTTTTTGAAAATAGATATGTTTTATCAGTTTAAAAAAATTCTAGTCCTGGTTTGCTAAGTTTTTCTGAATTTTGATTGGTTATTTAATATCAAATGCTTTTTTTGCATCTTTTGGGATGATCATGTGATTTTCTCTTTCACTTTTATGATGATGAATTACATTAATTGATTTACTTATTAAAGTTAATTTTTAAAATCAGTGATACATTCATATACCTCAAAAGCCTGTGTCCTTTTCACCTGATTCTTCTACCAGCTGTTGGTAACTACTTGTTTTTTCTTAGAAACAGGATCTTACTCTGTTGATCAGGCTGGAATGCAGTGGTGGGAGCATAGCTCACTGTAATCTCAAATTCCTGGGCTTAAGCAATCCTCCCACCTGAGCATCCTGAGTTGCTAGGACTACAGGTGTGCCACCATGCCTGGCTAACTATTTATTTTTTATTTTGTAGAGATGGGTGTCTTGCTATGTTGCCCAAGTTGGTCTTGAACTCCTAGCCTCAAGCAGTCCTCCCGCCTCAACCTCCTACAGCTGTGGGATTACAGGCTGTTCCTGGCCAATAACCATTTTTATTAGTTTTTTGGTTACCCTTCAGGTGTGTGTTTCTGCAAATATAGGTGTGTGCATATATATGGTCTTACTTTCATCTCTTCGTATTGTTGTATTTTATAATTAAAGCAGAAAGACTAGCATTTCTGGGATATCCTTGATCCAACTTGGTCATAATGAAGTAGCCTTATGTTTTTGGATTTGGCTTATTAATAATTTATGTAGTTTTTTTTCATTTATATTTATGGGAGAAATTGGCCTATCATTGTTCTTTTACTGTTCTTATGGGATTTTGCTATCAAAGTTTGGCTTCATAGTCTGAGGCAGAGTGTAGTGTTTCTTATATATTCTTTCTCTCTTTTAATGGTCTGGAAGTATTTGTGAAAGATTGAAATATTTCTTCCTATATTGATTGGTAGAACTGACCATGGAAGCCATCTATTCCTGGAGAGAGTGAAGGGGGAAGGGAGAGTTGGTTTATTGTTGGTGCTTTCTTTTGTTTTGTTTTTTGGTTTTACATTTTTTAACTGATCACCAACATTTTATTATTTTTAGTTTCAAACTTTTAAGTTCTGGGGTACATGTGCAGGATGTGCAGGTTTGTTACATAGGTAAACATGTGCCATGCTGGTTTGCTGCACAGATCATCCCATCACTTAGGTATTAAGCCCAGCATCCATTAGCTATTCTTTCTGATGCTCTCCTTCCTCCCACCCCCTATCCACTGACAGGCTCCAGTGTATGTTGTTCCCCACAATGTGTTCATATGTTCTATCATTCAGCTCCCACTTGTAAGTGAGAAGATGCAGCATTTGGTTTTCTGTTCCTGCATTAGTTTGCTGAGGATAATGGCTTCTGGCTCCATCCATGTCCCTGCAAAGGACATGATCGGATTCCTTTTTATGGCTGCATAGTATTCCATGGTATATGTACCACATTTTCTTTATCCAGTCTATCACTGATGGGCATTTAAATTGATTCAGTGTCTTAGCTATTGTGAATAGCACTGCAGTGAACATACACGTGCGTGTATCTGTGTAATAAAATAATCTATTTTCCTTTGGGTGTATACCCAGTAATGGGATTGCTAGGTATTATTGTTTTACATAGTATTTTTGACTATGGACTCAATTTCTTTAATAGTCATAGGTCTGTCTAGGTTGTCTATTTTTTCTTAGGTCAGTTTTGATAAGTTACATTTTCTCAGACGTTTGTCCATTTTATGTAAATTTTCAAATGTGCTAGTATAAATTTGTGAATCATAATTCTTTTTTTTTCATTCTGTAGCTGTCTTAGCTATTCCTTTAAGAACTGTAGGCATATTGATTGATAATCTGCCTCTGATAATTCTAGTATGTGAAGACTTTGTGGACCTCTTTTTGCTGCTGTTTTTAGTTTTTCATGTTTCATGTTTTTATTTCTTTTTGTGCTGGGTTCTGTGTAGCTGTGTAGCTTCTCATTGCCTTTTAAAAACTGCTTATGGGACTTTTCCAAATCTTGCATGAAGCTGCATACTTCAAGAGAGGATTCGAGTTTGATTCTGCTAAGGCCTGAGAGTACAACTTGTTTAGAATCCCCTTCTACTAAATTAATTTCTTGAGGTTTCTTGGACCAAACTTTCAGGAGGACCTTGCCCACATCTTAGAGATTTTCTTTCATTTTTTCCCCCTCTCTGTTTTGTTAACCTCTCTACCTTCCCCTTTGGATGTTTGGATAGTAACAAGTTTAGTTTGCTTTTACTCTGAGATTTTTAGCAGGGTGAAAAGGTGAGAGGGTCCCAAGTCTATATGGAAAGGATCCCCTTTATTTATTTATTTATTTATTTATTTATTTATTTAGAGACGAAGTTTCACTCTTGTCACCCAGGCTGGAGTGCAATGGCTCCATCTTGGCTCACTGCAACCTCCACCTCCCAGATTCAAGTGATTCTCCTACCTCAGCCTCCTGAGTAGCTGGAACTGCAGGCGCCCACCACCATGCCCAGCTAATTTTTTATATTTCTAGTATAGAGATGGGGTTTCACCATGTTGGCCAGATTGGTCTTGAACTCCTGGCCTCAGGTGATCCACCTGCCTTGGCCTCCCAAAGTGCTGGGATTATAGGCATAAGCCACCACACCTGGCCAGAAAGGATCTGCTTTAAATGGTTTTTCTGTTTGTTTGTTTTTTGTTGTTGTTGTTGTTGTTGAGATAGAGCCTCATTCTGTTGCCCAGGATGGAGTGCAGTAGCGTGATCTTGCTCACTGCAACCTCCGCCTCCTGGGTTCAAGCAGTTCTCCTGCCTCAGCCTCCCAAGTAGTAGGGACTACAGGCATGTGCCACCACACCCGCCTGATTTTTTGTAGTTTTAGTAGAGACCAGGTTTCACCATGTTGGCCAGGCTGGTCTCGAACTCCTGACCTCAAATGATCTACCCGCCTTGGCTTCCCAAAGTGCTGGGATTACAGGTGTGAGCCACCATGCCTGGCCGTCCTTTAAATGTTTTACTCTGAGCATGCCATAGGCTTTGCTTTCTGTTATCCCATGCTTCCCTCACACCTCACTTTCTACTAACCAAATGCACAGCCTAGTTTCTTGGGCTCAGTATATGTTCTCAGATCAAGAACTGCTTCGTGTACTCTGCTTATCCTAATGTTAGAACATTACTAACTGAACTATAGACTTTACTGAATGTCACTAGTTTTTCCTCTTGATGACTTCTGTACCACGATTCTATCCAGGACTTCACATTACATTTCCTTGTTTTGGATGATCTTGATAGTATTAAGTAGTGCTAGTCAGGTATTTTGTAGAATGTTCCTTGATTTGGATTTGTCTGGTGTTTTTTCTTATGGTGAAACTGGAGTTACAAGGTTTTGGGAGAATATAATATTCTTCTACGCTTTGTTTTTTACACTTAGTACGTCTTGGAAATCACTCCATAGATTTGCTTCATTCTTCATGTATAGCAGCTGGAAATACTCCATTGAGTGTCATTCAATTCTTAATTTAAGATACCGTGTTTTTCAACTCTAGAATGTCAATTTGGTTATTTATTTAGAGATCTATTTCTCTGGATCTTTTTGGGAATCATCCTTGATTGTATGTTACATTTTTCTGATTCTTGTCATGTCTCACAGTTTTTCATTTAATGCCAGATGTTGTGTTTGAAGGAATTGTAAAGACTGGAGTAATATTTTCTTTATTCTCCTCAGAAAGAGCATGACATTTGCTCTTTTAGGTAGCTAGGGTGAGAAGCTGCTCATTTTGATTCGATAAAGATATGAGCTTGATGGCAGCTCTAGTTTCAGTTCTCTGGTTTTAAATGTTTCGAGTGCAATGTACATTTACTTATTGGCAAGAGAATATCTTGGAACAGTAAAAGTGGCTTAGTGGGATGATGGGCAAAAGAAGAGGATCGTTGTTATACTGCATTCATTCATTCAGCAAGTATTGAGAATCAACTGAGTTTAGGTACTTTCTAAGTATTGGGAATATAGCAGTGAACAAAATGAAAGTCTGTACTTCTGTCAGAGCTTACATTCTGTTGGAAGGAAGTAGAAAAGAACAAATAAGCAAACGTGTAATAAGTATTATAAATGAAAAGTAAAACATAATACAGGATTAGAGAGGGACAGGAAATATCCTTGCTCTACCATTTTTTGACCTTAGGCAAGTTATGTTATAGTTTGTTCTTGTTTCTGCATTTCTAAAATGGGCATAATGATAAGAAATAAAATAGAACTTTTGTGAGAATGAAATGACTTTGTGGGTGATTAAGAGACTTTAACAATGCTTAACACATTGTTAGTGCTCACTAAATGTTAGCTCTTCTTTTTATTATTAATATAAGGAGGCTAATTATACAAGTTTAGAATTGAGAGGAATTTGTACAATTTATGTTTTGATACCTCAGTGTTTAACCAGGCTGTCAGTGGCTGATATTGGCAATAGAAGGCCAAGTTCTTGCCAAAGTCTGCTGACATTTAGAGAAAAAGCAAACTTCAGAGTAGGCCAGAATGAGCAGAAAAACAGGGTGATCCTACAGCAAGAGGGGATTAGGGATGGAGACAACCTGCTAGGCCAAATGGACTGAGTGAACATCTTGAAGGCGTAAGATCAGCATTTAGTCACTTGAAGTACTGTTCTTTCTTTTCTCCTGGACATTGCTGTATTGCAGTTTTGGTCTGTGGCATTTGGTCTCCAGAAGATTTTGTGGGTCGAAGTTTGAACTGAGCCTAGTCTTTAGCTTTATCATAGAAAAATAGTTATGCAGCCCAATTTATGACTTCTTACCTGAGTCATGACTTGTCATCTCAGATATGTGGGATTCTCTTACTCTGACCATAATTTCTATCTACGAAAATGGGTCACTGGATCTGACAAAAGAGCTTGATCTGGCTTATGGATTTATTCATATGAAAATTCTTACATTGTCAAGGGAATTTGCATTCAGAGATACATTTAATGAATTTTTATGTTGAACAATAAAAGTGCTTTAGATATACTCAGTAGTCTAGTAATTTTTAAAATTATTTTGAACACAACCTACAGTAGAGGAAATATATTTTATACTGTGATCTCCTTTATACACACAGCCACCCACTACACATACCCTTTTAACTCAAATGGAACACCATTTGCCTTACTACATACGATATGTTCTGTTTCTCTTCTATTCTGTTAAAAAAAATTCTAGACACTCCCACTAAACTGATTTCATGGCACACTAATGTGTCATGTCCTGTGGTTTGAAAACCACTCGTCTAGTGTACCCCAAGATCACCTGAAGAAAAGGTAGAGTCTTACAAAGTGGCAAAGGGAGAAGTGGTTGGCAGAATTCAGTAAATATATAGCATTTGTGGAGTTCTTAACATGGCTTTTCTAAAGACAGATCAAAAGGGTTTTAAGCCACACCCTTTGCTTTTAAGATGGATATTTGGGGAGAATGTTTGGTTAAGTGATAAGCGGAACAACTGCTTGGGGAGTGACTGAGGAACATTGGTGTCTGGGTGAATGGGAGGATATAGCTGTGATTCTCGAGGGGCTGGAGGTATGCCGTAGTATATTCCATAGTGGTCAGTGAATCTGGCTTTTCATTCAGCCCATAGAAGAAGCTCTGACAGGGAGACAGAAGGTTGAAGGCTTGCTGTAATGTATCTATTTATATTTTTTACTTTTTATTCTTGCTGAAGAGATATAGGTCACCTTCTAATTAGAGTTTGTAGCACTGGCATACATAGTGGTTCAACCAGTGTCTTATTTATTTGTACAGAATAAGACAAACGCTAAGACCAAGGTAAAGGGGATGGCATGCTGTCATTAGTTGGAGCCACCCTGCATAGTTCTGTAGAAAGTTTATGTGAGGCCTGCAGTTCTGGGATTTCCAATCAAAATGTACTTTCTTAACCTGTAAAAAGTCTTGGAAGTATGCAGTGAACTAGACAGATAGGGCTCTAGCTTTTTGGAATTCACTCTCTACAGTGGGAAAGAAATAGTAGAGTAATTTTGGATGGTGTTATATGCAATGAAAACAATAAATCATGGTAATGTAAGAATGAGTTGGTGTGGCAGGATAGGTTACTTTTTGATAAGATGTGTTATAGAAGGCATCTCTGAGCATATGATATTGGGCAGAGACCTGAATTATGACATCCTGTGAAGATCTAGGGAAATTTTCCTATTGTGTTACCATTCGATGCTACTGTATAGAGTCCAGTGATTTTATTCATGGCAGAGACAATTGGTTTGGTGTAAATGAACAACTCCTTATAGAAGGGTTAGTTGGCTCTGTAAATGAGAGAATGGCATTGTTCTAGCAATTGAATGTGTTGTTAGCATAGATGAAAATACTGCTCTATGGAGGGAATATGAGATTATTTTACATTAGTTAGATTTTTCAGGGGATTTAACATTGATGGTGATGGAGCTTCATTAAAGAACTAGAGTGCTTAGCCAGTGGTCTGAACAATCCACTTTTGAGAGAAAAGGTCCAGGCTTTCTCTATTCTCTCTCCTAGAAGTCTGGTGCCCTCTTTTTCTCTTTCCTGGCCTTTCAATCAAAATAGGATGAGTTCATAGGCATTTTATGCTGTTAGGCAATTGATTTTTTGGGTAAGGTTGCTGATGCAGTAGGCTTATTCTTAGGCTCCTCTGGTGATAAAGGACTCTTGAGCCTCTGTCACCATTGTCTTGACCACCACTCTTGACAGGGAGGTTGCCCTGCCTGCCTGTTCATTGACATACCCACCTTTTCTCTCCGCTTGCACCTAACCCAAGTCTGAGAAGCCAGAGATTCATCTGTATCAGTGCCTCGTATGTGTTCTGCTTGAAGTTATGGTTCAGTCTGAGAGGACCAGCCGAGTTTCCTGTTCTTATTATTGTTTTAATATTCAGAACCAGGGGCTAAACTTGTTAGGTGGCAGTAAGGAACACAGATGCTCATGGACCTTTCAGAATAGGAGACGTATTATAGACAATGGATGAAACAGAAGCTTTAGTCTTGATACGGGGAGTAGAGATGAGAATGGGGTAAGAAATGCAGAAGGCTGGCTCTGGGAGAGTTGAATCTTGTGTGTGTGAGTGGGAGAGAGAGAGAATTTGCGTGTGTGTGTGTGTGTGTACACATGCGCACATGTGTTTGCGTGTATGTATATATCGCTATGATAGGATCAAGTCAACATTGCATCAGGTGCAAAAAAAATCAATATTGATGCCCTTTTTAAATGTCAGAAAACTGATCAAGAATGAAAAAACCAAAACCAACCAATCAAACAAAATTTCCCAAATATACCAAAGGCTCAATCCACAATTTACGGCAAATAACTCTATGGGCAGTGACTTTGATGTATACTATAATGTGCTAGATTATTTTTGTTGAACATTTATATATTAAACCCACTTCAGATGGGTTTAGTTAGTTTTTGGTAAGGTAATAATTGGTTTTTAACATCAATAAGAAGATTAGCAAATACATTCATTATAGTATGTCCAAACTATAACATATAGCTGGCTTTCATTTTAGAGAATGATATTTTATTTTCTTAAACTAATTTTATTCATCTGAATAATTTTGGAGCACTTATTATGGTGAACTGTGTGGTGGATACGAAGAAGAATAAGCAAAGTTTCTAACTTCAGGAAGCTTACAGCCTAATAGGAAAGAGAATCTTTTCACATGCTTATTTGTGTGTATTAGAGAAAAGGTACAAACAGTATGCTATGGAAGTGGAGAGAAAAGAGAAATTGATATCACTGGAGGGCATGGAGCCAGGAATAGATTCTTAGAGGAAGGAGTCTTTGAGGTAGGCCTTGAAAGATGGGTAGGGTGTTACTAGGTAGATACAGGCTTTGAGGTATCCTTTTGTTCCCATTATAACAGCCTGTGAACATTTATTGTAGCACTAAATACTGTGTACTATGTCATGTTATTTCTTTCCATGTCTTTCCCTGGTGGGTTATAAATTCTTTAAGGCTAGAACTATATGTTATTCATCTTTGTATTCCCAGCACCTAGCACAGTGCCTGCTGGATGGTAGATGAACATGAAGTATGTGATAGGAAGTGTAATAATCTTGTCTAGTTCCAGGGCATTAATGAAGAACTGAGAGAGTATTGCATAGTTGTTGTAGATCAGTGTTTACATTGGGATTAATTTGACTGCATCTAAAATAATGAAATAATTTGGAAAAATCCAAAATAACCACTCCCACATGATGTTTATTTCTCTGTCACATAAAATAACTTTGGGTGTAGGCAGTCTAAGGTTGGCGTGGCAGAACCATGAAGTTACCAGAAATCTAGGCTCTTTTCAGCTCCATTCTGACATCCTTACTGTGTCATGGGCCAAGATGACTGCTGGAGGTCCAAGTTCCAGAATGACAGACATAGAAAAGTGAAGAAGGGCACACCCCTCTATTTTTGTTTGTTTGTTCATTTGAGACGGAGTGGCACGATGTCGGCTCACTGCAACCTCCGCCTCCCGGGTTCAAGTGATTCTCCTGCCTCAGCCTCCCAAGTGGCTGGAATTACAGGCGCCTGCCACCCTGCCAAGCTAATTTTTGTATTTTTAGTAGAGACGGGGTTTCACTATTTTGGCCAGGATGGTCTCGATCTCCTGACTTCGTGATCTACCCACCTCGGCCTCCCAAAGTGCTGGGATTACAGGCATGAGCCACTGCACCTGGCTGGGCACACTGCTCTATTTTAAAGGGAACTCTCGAGAAGTTATATACATTGCTGCTTATGTTTCATTGGCCAGAACTCAATACCCTGGCCTTATCTAGTTGCAAGGGAGACTGGGAAACAGTCATTTCTCCAGGCCACAGCGTGTGCAGCTAAAAGCTGAGGTTCTTTTACTAAGGAAAAATGGGAGAAGAATATTGAAGGACCAAACAGTCTTTGACCCAGTTGGCTTTGCAGTCTGTTTTTGAGTCTTAGCTCTTCCACCTACTAGCTGTATAATGTTGAGTAATTCACTCAGCCTCTGAGTCTTGGTTTCTTCTTCTGTAACATGAGCTAAGTAATTGTTTCTCCTTATTGAGTTATGATGAGGAACAAACAAGATCATAGATGTAAAGAGTTTAGCACAGTGCCTGGAATATCATAAGCCCTCAGCAATGGGTTGCTCTTATTCTTATTACTGTTATAAAGCCATCTAAGGTTCTATTCTGAGTTCCTTTCCAGACAAGTTAGTCTGGCAGCAGTAGAAGCTCTGGACACCAAGTTTCTTGGGTGCAAACTGTTCATCCCCCTCTCCTTCTGTTCCTTCTGCCTGCTCTAATCTGGTGGGTAGATAGGCTGGAGAAAAACTTGTCTTTGGAGAAGAGGCTTCTGTATATTTCAGTGTCCTGCTGGTGCCTTATGCACTAGCTAACCAAAACACAGCTGGTAGGTCTAATTTTAGGTTCACAAGTCTTGCTGGTTGTCCTCTTTAGATTCTGTTTTACATTCTGAACTGTGGGAAGTTTTTATAGAAGCAGAGGGGAGGTGGGGACAAGATACTCTTTACTTTCTGGTTGGAAAATAGCCTTCATTTTCTTTCTAGTAGGCAGTCATGGGGAGAGATGTAAGGTTAAGTTTATATAGGCACCCATACTATTTTCCTCTGTGAATTTTGAGTGTGTGTGAACCCTGGCAGGCTCTAACCTGTGTTGATTGGTAGACTCTGACTTCATGTGTATAAATAATGAAAATGCTAATCTTTGGCCGAGGTTATAAAACCAAGAGTCTAGAAACCTTTGTCTGTTGTTGAATTTTGAGACTGTTTTTGTCTGTTTTTGAATTTTGAGACTGTTGTTTTGAGACTGTTGTTGAATTTTGTCTGTTGCTGAATTTTGTTTGAATTTCCAGAGATATGAGAAAAATAACAAATAGCTGTCATTTATTGAGTGGTTTGTGGCCAGGTCCTTTTCATATATTGTTTCATTTGATCCTTAATAAAATTCCACAATTAGCTATGTTGTTATGTTTTCCATTTTATGTATGAGGAAACTCAAAAGAGGTTAAGTTTTGCTGACAGTTACTTAGCTAGCAAGCGTAAGGACTGGGATTTGAATCCAGGCCTGACAAAGTACATATTCTTTCCACCATTCCATTTTGCCTCTACAAATTTGATTACTCCCTCTCATATTTAATCTAAGTTGTACTGACACATTATCCTTATGTTTATTTTCTATATGAAGGCATTTAATAGATGAATACTTTCTGAATATCCTAAAACTATTTTCCCCTTCTCTTTGGTCTTCTTTCTATATATTATATATAATTTTAATTAGTAAAATATTTTTTTTATTTTGTTCTATTCAGCACTTCTCTAGGTCAATACCTGATACTTAGTAGTCACTCAATGTATTGTTATTTAATTAATAATAACAACAGAAATTATAACTAACATTTATTGAGAACTTAGCTTGTACTGCTTCTCTAAACTTTCTGCATATTCTTTCATTTAATGTTTACCACAATTCTTTGAGGTATAGTATTTCTTAAGATAATTTTATATATTATTCGAAGTTAGTGGCATTTCTTTTCTTTTGGTCTATTTATTCATTCAACAAATATTTATTGAAGGCTTAAAATTTGCCAGGTGGAGTATTTTGGCCAGTAGGGAACCAACAAGAAGCAACTCTAAGTCATGGAATTTATAATCTTTGAGCAAAACAGACAGTAAGGAAGTTAAATGATAAGTGATATTTTAAATAATGATAAGTACTGTGAATAAACAAACTGGGGAAGGAGATAGGGAGTGACTGGGATGTGGGAATGAGAGGGAAGCTTTTTAAGGATCTGAGGACTTTTTGAACTAGTGACCTGGGTGTAGTTAGAGCCAGTGATGAGAAGCTCTAGGGACATAGTGGTTCAACTGAAGGGAACAGCAAGTGTAAAAGCCCTGAGATAGAACAAGTTTACTAAGGGGATAAAATGAATGGCTGGAGTATAATCAGTAGTGGTGGGGTAGGGGTTGACTAGTAGATGAGGTCAGATTACCAAGTAGGCTGTGGTAAGGATTTTGGGTTTTATTCTAAGTAGTCATAGACTGTTTAAGCAAGGGAGTAAATGATCTGGTTTATATTCTTAAAACTTCTCTTTGGTTCCTATGTGGAGAATGGGCTGTTGGGTAGCAAGAGTGGGAGCGGTATTGCTGCTTGTACCAGGTTGGGAATAGTGGACAATACGATAGTGAAGAATACATGCCAACTGGATATGGCATATATTTTAGAGTTCGGCCTAAAAAGACTTGCTGATGGATTTTTTTTCAGACCCAAGAATGACTTTGAGTCTGACAACTAAAAGTGATGGCCTAGTGTAGGAGTGGGTTTGGAGTTAGAAAATGAAGTAATATAAAGGAGGTGGTAAAAATTTTCGTACATGGGATGGTGATACTAAAATTTAATTTCATTTCCTTTTGACAAAACTTTGCTTTCTGATTTGATTCCTTAGGAGGACTTCCTCTCCCCTCCCTCTCCCCTCTCCCCGCTCCCTCCCCTCCCCATTCTCTTAGACAGTGTCTCACTCTGTTGCTCAGGATAGATGGCAGTTGATCTCCGCCCACTGCAACCTCCACCTCCTGGGTTCAGGTGATTCTCATGTCTCAGCTACCCAGGTAGCTGGGAATACAGGCCATGCCCGGCTTATTTTTGTATTTTTAGTAGAGATAGGGTTTCTCCATCTTGGCCAGGCTGGTCTCAAACTCCTGGCCTCAAATGATCCACCCACTTTGGCCTCCCAAAGTGCTGGGATTACAGGTATGAGTCACTGCGCCTGACCAAGGAGGACTTCTGTATTCCATCTTCTGATCCTTTTCCACAATTTCTCCCAGACAAGACCTTCTGGTAAAATGACTAAGTTGGATTGATTTTTTTTTTTTTTTTAGAAGAATGATATCAACACAAGCCAATGGAATAGGGAGGAAAACACCCCAATACAGATAGCTAGTATTCTTTCTGAATTCAACATCTTCTGATTGATTCTTTGTAATAATAGAATTCAATATTCAGGAGCCAGTTTAGGATATTTATGTGGCTTATATTTACATTTTTGCTGACACGTGACTTTTCTTTTGGGTGCCTAGCTGGTTATTGGCATTAGACTAGACTGACTTCCATGAAAGTGCAGAGACCACTTGTCAAGGAATTCTTCTTCCTATTCTGATGCCACTGCTACCTGCCATATTCTACTTTTGCTTCTACCCTTTACCCATTTTTAAGGCATGTTTCCATTAGCATGAAATGTTATTTCTGTGTTTTGGGGTGGATGGATCTGAATGTATCAGGTAATATGTACTCCTTTGAAGAAAGGCACCCCAATTTTCATGGTGTTCAAACACAAGGAACATTAGAGGTAGAAAACATTTAGAATTGCTTCCAGGGATAGCAACTTCAGATATCTACCAGAAAGGTAATGTAAAGAAGAGAAGCAAGCCAAGGTAACTGGCAAACTTGAGAGAGGTTGCTTTGCCTAAAGTGAGTAGTTGCTACTCAGCTTCAGCCAATTTCTGCTATATGGGAATGGGAGCCCATTACAGTCATACCCTTTGGATTTACAAAAGAAGCTAGAAATCTTTATTTTTATGTCATATGTCCTCATTTTTAAATGCTAGCAACTAACTTAAAACTCTTAGTGGATGTGTGGGACAACACTCTAAAAGCCAAAGAAAATAGTTCTGTAGGCCTCAGGCTGTGGATATATAGCTTTTGATCTGGTCCATCTTCCTCATTTACAGATGGAAAAACAGAAACCCAGGGATGTAAAATGACTTTTCCAAGCTCACACAAGCAGTTGCTGGCAGTGCTAGTAGTAAAACCTAGGTCTCCTTTCTCTTTGTGCAATGCTCTTTACATTTGGAATGTTAATTGTTTTTGAGGATGTGAGAAAAGCTAATGTCATGTACAGCCCAAATTTTATATCGTTTTGAGGATTTCAGACCCCCTGAAATCCATACATGAATATCAAGTAAAGAACCTTCTCTTGAATCTGCTGGTCCATATGTTTGCATTGTCAAAGGAAAAGGCCCCAGTATTTACATTTAGGCAAATTCATGGGAAGAAGCACTGTAAGCAGGAGACCTTGGCCCTCTTGGTCAACTTCTGCTTCTCTCCCTGCCTTACTGCCTGCCTTTTTTTGTTTGTTTGTTTTTTAGTATGCTAAATCTTAATTATGCAATTAATAGGAATATATTTAACTCTAAAATCCTTCTATCCTAAGTACCAGTCCCAGCAATAATTGCTTTTCTAATATTCTACATACCTATGTCACTCATAGAAAGTAATAATTTTTTAAAAAACTGTTACATGTACCATTTTGCAAGGTTTTGTTTTTTTTTTTAAATTCAACAATATGTCATGCATTGTATCCAGGTACATACAACCTACCTCATTCTTTTTATTTGCTATGTCGTATTCCACAGTGTGTTAATTCCACAGTTTATTTAGCCACCCAATATTTATGAATCCTTGGGGTGTTTACAGATTTTTAGTATTACAAACAGTGCTGCAATAAATACTTTTGTACATGCATCCTTGACACAGGTGCTAGTCTTCCTCAAGAGGAAAGGAGAAGTGGATTGGTAGGCATGTGATTTCAGAGTGGCAGTTATTTTATATATCCATCAACAACATATGGAAGTCCCCAATTTCCCCAGGGCCTAACACTTGCTGTTATGAGATTAAAATTTATTTCAGGCTGATGGGTAAGAAATTATATTTTAATCATGAGTGAGTCTGAGCATCTTTTGCATGTTTTGATGTGTTTGCATTTCACATTTCTATTTTTTTTAAGACAGGGTCTCGTTTGTTCATTTTTTTTTGGAGATTTCTGTTGGGTTTATTTGGCCTTTTCTTACTGATGTATAGAAATCCCTTATGTGTTTTTTCTGTATTCTTGATACCATGTATATGTTATAAATCTTTTTCATTTAGATCTTTCTGATCTTGGTTTTGTCACTGACCAGCTCTGTGATTTTGGGGACATTGTTTGACATCCACAATGCCATTTTTGTCCATTGTGAAGGAGAATACACTACCTTTTAGTTATTGTATTACTGTGAAATGCCAGTGAAAGAGTATAAGCGCTCTGAGCTTTGGGTTCATTTGATTTTCACCAGCCATTTTTTTCAGCTGTAAAGTGAGAATACACTGCTTTTCAGTGAGATGCCAATGAAAGAGCATATGAAAGTGCTTTGGAGACTAAAGAATACCTTCACATGTACAGCATTTTGTCCTTTGGTTTTATTATGACTCATCCCTAGGAGGTGGCTTCTGTGAAGCATCCTATGCTTCTACAGATTAATCAAATTCTGAGTGGTGGGTGTCACAATGTAGCACTTATCTCTTTTTATTCTACACCTTCTTAGGGGAGGAACAAGGTACATAAACAAGATATGCTCACATTGAACTCCTGTGTTCTTGGAATGCATTGGGTGGGATGGAGGTGGAGAAGTACAGATAGCAGGGGAATCCTACTACTTTGCTAGTCATGTTATGTGCCCCAAGGATTGACAATCATTTCTAAAAATGGAACCAAATGTCTACAAGGTTAGAATTAGGCTGTCTTTTCTTACTATCCTGGTTCACTTCTCAATTAGAACTCAGGTTTCAGAGGCAGCTGTTCTGTTCCACTATCTTTTCTGTTCACTGGTTCCCTAACTATGGAACAAATGAGGATATAATCTCCTGTCTGGCTATCTTTTGACTAATGGCTGTCCTCAGCAAACAAATAATTAACCAAAACATGGTACTATTCTATGGTTTGGGGATACTCAGACTCAGATACCACCACCCTTAGACCCAAACAACCCCATGCCCCTGACCTATGTCCCATACTTTTTTTTTTTTTTTTTTTTTTTTGAAATGCAGTCTCGCTCTGTCACCCAGGCTGGAGTGCAGTGGAGTGATCTTGGCTCACTGTAGCCTCTGCCTCCCAGGTTCAGGCGATTCTCCTGCCTCAGCCTCCCGAGTAGCTGGGCTATGTCCCATGCTTTTGAAGACCCCTCCTGTAGCCATGCCTGTCCCGTTCCGTACCACTCTTCAAGTACCTAGCTACCCAAGAATTACCTGGTAAAATGTCCTGAGCTTGCTTCCAGGGCCTGCAGAGCCTCTCCTTGAGTCCGTCTGCCTGAAGATGGACCAGTTTCTGATACATGTATCCCTAGGTCCCACATGTGTATCATGGGTGACCAAGAGGGGTATTCTCAGCTTGGACCTGCTAGCTTGAACACCTGTGCACAAGGCCCCTTGGGGTGCAGGAAGGGACTGGAATGTGGGGAAAGTGGTGGGAGTGGATTGGGGCCAGAGTCCTCCATTTGGACTCTTGCCCCAGCTCTGCAGCTGTCAGGGTCAGGTCTGCCCCGAGGAGCCTCTGCCTTCTGACCAACTGCTTATTTTATAGATTTTTAAAAAAGCCTTTGGGAAAGGTTTTCTTCACCACTGATTTAGAGACTGAGTATAGCAGGCTCATCATAGAGCCCAGTTAATCTTGGTGAATAATTCACAGAGAGTGGGGTGGGGAGGTGGAACAGGTGAGTTTCCTGAAGGGAGGCTCTCTTAAGTTGCCTCTCCTCTGTCTCTTCCCTGGTTAGGCGATGCTGCTGATGCTTTGTGAAAAGGAGGAAGGATTCTGCTGACACACTGAATTTTTATGAAAGAAGGCTAAGGGTTCCCTTATTCATCCACACGAGGCACATCTGCTTGCAGACAGGCTGTCTGCTTCTTAGGGATTCCTTCGTTGTCGTTTTATTCTTTTCTGAAGGTTTTAAGACACAGTTTGGTGCATTCCTTTCTGTTCTCTAGAGCCAGGGGGAAAGTCATAATATATCAGAGCTCTTGCCGAAGAGCTTAAAATGGGCGCTGGCAGCTGGGATGTGGGGGAAGAGAGCTTTCCAGGGACAAGTGACCTGCTTGTTCAGCCAATGAGAAGCAGGTTAGAGGAATGATATCACCAGACAGGCTTTATTGTCTGATCATCTCGTAAAAGCATGATTGTTTCTGGCAACTTAACCCTTTTTTAGGCACTTCAGGTCTCACCTGCTTCCTGGTATATGACCTCTAAGTTCCTTTTGTCAACTGTCTGCTATGAGACCACAGAGATTAAAGACTAAAATTAGTGGAGGATATAGGGGAGTTGTAAACCATCATTTTAAAAAATAGAACTTATTAAAATTTAGAACCTTTGCTAACATGGAAATGTGATTTAAGCTGTGTTTGGAGAACACATCTAAAGTAGATATTGGTTGTAGTCATGTTGTGTCTGATTTTTACTGTGTAGACTTGAGAGGCAAGAGAGGTCAGAGGGGGGAAAATTGACCCTTTAGTATATTTTAATTTATATAGTGGAATCTTATTAGGTATTTCCTATTTTGGAGGAATTGAAATTAGTTCTGTAAATTTGGAAGATATGTTATCACAGATCCAGAGGCCAATTTTGAGTAAGAGATATTTGCAGTATCTGTTTATTCTTGTACTTCTTTGTTGTCCCTACCCCATAGAAATGACAGTGAGTTTACCTCTTTTTGCTTCCTTTCCCTCATTGGTGAAATGAATGTTCCTACCTATCTGATAGAGTTGTTGAGATAAGAAAATAAATGAATTCCTGTGATTTTAGATTGTCCTATATATAATATAATGTATTATTATTATGGCATTCATGTCTTAAGGTTATATGTTCATTCATTGATTTGTTCAGACTTTTTACAACATCTAGATGCTGGGCATAAGAGATACAGGGATACAAAAAAATACAGTTCTTACCCTTAAGGAACTGAAAATATCACGAGGGAGACAGATAGTAATAAAACTGTTTCATACTTCCTTTTTTATTTACCATGTGCCAGGCTCTGTTCTGAGTACCTTGACATACATTAACTAATTTAATCTTACTGCAGTCCTATGAAATAGATAGTTATTGGCTCTATTTTACAGATAAAGAAATTGAGACAGAGAGAGGGTAAGTAACTTGCCTAAGGTCACACAGCTAGTGTGTGACTAATGGCACTAGGGCTCTAGTCTGTGCTCTAAATCTGTACTGACCAATATAGTAGTCACTAGTCACATGTGGCTTTGGAGCACTTGTAATGTGGCTGGTTTAAATTGATTGGGCTGTAATTGTGAAATACTAGATTTCAAAGACCTAGCATAAAAAAAAATCTCATGTTGAAATTGCATGTTGTAATGATATTTTGAATATACTGAGTTAAGTAAAATACATCAAAATCAATTTTACTTTTTAATTGTGGCAGTTATAAAATTATATACATACGCTTGCATTTGGGACTCACATTAGTCTTTTATTGTACTGTGCTATTCTAAATCATTATACTGTAATAATAGTAATAGCATATGAAATTTTTGAGCACTCACTGTGTGCCACATACTGTGCTAATATCTTTTAAAACACTTTCAGTTAGGCCCCAAAATAGCCCAGTTTATTATCACTATTTTATAGAAGGGGGAGAAGGTTTTGAGACATTTAGTAATTTGCCTGAAATTAATCAACTAGTTAATGGCAAATCCAAAATTGGAACTGTATATGTCTGACTCAAAAACCTGTGAGTTTTATGGGTTTTTTTGGTGTTGAACTCCTGGCCTCAAGCAATGCTCCTGCCTCAGCCTCCTGAGTAGCTGAAATTACAGGTGCAAGCTACCACACCCAGTTAAAAAACCTGTGTTCTTAATCAGCACACTACAGTTCCATTCATAATTAAATTTCAGACTATTTTCTTTGTTTTAATTTTTATAAGTATATTTAATATTGCATACTTCTATATCTGATGCATAAAGGTTCAAAATAAAAATTACCAGTCTGTAAAATAGACATCTTGTATGGAACTGTCTTTTGTAGAGCTTCAGTGAACACCAGCACAGTTGAGCCTGAGATGAAGCAGTGAGTCAGCCTATACAAATTGTATTTAATTTTCATTCCATATAGTTGTGCCAGTCACTGGGCAATTTATGTCCTGACACTCTTTGTCCATAGAGAAGGGAAAGAGGGGCAATGCACCTCTCCTTTGTTGTTTAGCTCTCTTGGCTGTTAAGAAAAAATTGCTTTCTATTTCATTGTCTTCCAAAATGCTGTTTGTGTTTGAGAGAGCAACAAAATGCTGTCTAGTGACCCCTCACTTTTCTTTCTTCTAGAGCAAAGACTCAGGTGGACTGAAGGCCGCTATGATCGAATTGGTGGAAAGGTTGAAGTTCAAGAGCTCAGACCCTAAAGTAAGTATTGTTTGGAATTGATTGGGTGTTGGTACCCCAAGCATTTCATTCTCCTTGAGCTAAAATTGTGAGGTGTTGATGATCATCTCTCTGAATATTGCATTAAGATTTAATTAAGCCTGCCCATCAGAAACAGTGTCCTGATATGCCTAGAGATAAGTCATCTATTTTTCTCCTTCTCTATTTTATGACTTACAACACATAATCATTCATTGTTTTCCCTGAACTGCAGACAGGTGCATTTTTAATCCTCCTTTACCAGGGGTCTTTGAATCTTTGGTCCTCTGTGTCCATTAGATGCAGCCAAAGGCGTCTGAGAGAAATACAGATCATCTTTTTTTTTTTGAGACAGAGTCTCGCTCTGTTGCCCAGGCTGGAGTGCAGTGGCGCAATCTTGGCTCACTACAGCCTCCGCCTGCCGGGTCCAAGCCATTCTCCTGCCTCAGCCTCCTGAGTAGCTGGGATTACAGGCCTGCGCCACCATGCCCTGCTAATTTTTGTATTTTTAGTAGAGACGGGGTTTCACCATGTTGGTCAGGCTGGTCTCGAACTCCTGACCTCGTGATCCGCCCTCCTCGTCCTCCCAAAGTGCTGGGACTACAGGTGTGAGCCACCGCACCAGCTGAGAAATACAGATCATCTTAATGCCAGGGACTGGCATGGGATCCAGACTCATCTAGTTGGTGTTCAGCACTAGCGTCTTATCTCTCCACTGCTTCCAGGAGCCAGCTGCCACTCAGAATACTTTTTTCCTCATGACCTGAAGTCTGGTTTGGAAACTGGTTTAAGTGTCCCGGCTTTTTTTTTTTATTTCAATATGTTAGGGTCTAGAGGATTGATATTCTGGGAGACACCATAACGGGGTGGAGGTAAACGGAACTGAACAGACTTCCTTCTCCTTCCTACCCAGACACTTACTGTGGCACTACCTGGTATTGGGGCCAGCTGGCTTTGCCTTAGAATCAAAGTTTCTCACAATTAAATAGGGAAAGGCGCATGATTTTATTTTACTGTAGGTTCTTTTTGTTTTTGTTTTTGTTTTTTTTTTTTTTAAGAGGAATGGGACTAGCATTTCTTGAGTATCTACTGAGAGTCAGGCACTTTGCTAGGACTCTTACATGATTGTACTAAAATATACATACAAAATTTTAACCATTTTTGAGTGTACAGTTCAATGGCATTAAGTACATTCACTTTGGTTTTTTGTTTGTTTGTTTGTTTTTGTTTTTTGTTTTTTTGAGACGGAATCTCGCTCTGATGCCCAGGTTGGAGTGCAGTGGCATGATCTCGGCTCAGTGCAACCTCTCCCTCCCAGGTTCAAGTGATTCTCCTGCCTCAGCCGCCTGAGTGGCTGAGACTACAGGCACATGCCACCACACCCAGCTAACTTTTTGTGTTTTTACTAGCGACAGAGTTTCACCATGTTGGCCAGGCTGGTTTCGAACTCCTGACCTCAAGTGATCTGCCCGCCTCAGTCTCCCAAAGTGCTGGGATTATGGGCGTGAGCCACCACACCTGGCCACACTTTGTTGTGCAGCCATCATCACTGTCCATCTCTAGAGCTTTTTTACTATCCCAAACTGAAATTCGGTACCCATTAAATGCTAACTTCTCATTCCTGCTCTCCCCTTAAATACTTTTAATTATTTAACAACACTGTAAAGTAGCATTTTCTTCCTACTTTATTGATAAGAACACTGAGGTTTAGAAAGGTAGAATCATCTGCCCAAATCTAATGTAATATAGATGTGGAATTCAAACTCTGACTCCAGTGCCTATACTCTTTATCTTATGTCATGCAAACCAAGCACTGGATTTTATCTCCTTTCTGCCACATGATCACATTGTGCTGCAGTTTTCTAAATTGAAACACAATATGTGGCAGAGCCATAGACTGGTGGGCTCTTCAAAAGGTGGCTGCAGCCACAAGAATAAATTTCTCTTCATATGGCAATGAAAATATCGGGGACATTGGTAAGATCTCTTGTCTTCTGGTGTAGTCAGGGTTCCAGAAGTAGAGAGTTAGGTTGGTAGATAGAAAAAATTAGAGTAACCTTTATCAACTTTCCTAGCTCAAAGTAGGAGGACCCCTGATAAAAGTTTTTCCTTTAGCTAGGATGAACCACTTATTAAAAGTTACTGAAAGCTTTTCTTACCAAGTTTCTCTGGTTTCTGGAGCAACTCCTGTTCTGCAGGAGACAACCATATTCTGATTCCGCCAAACTTATAATTAGCAGTGCAGTGAAGAGGGAGCGGATGTGTACAAATCACACTGAGTGTTCTCTGTGTATGACTATAATACAGGTAAAGTGCTTTGGGATCCTTTATGAATGCATGTAGTGCTTCTGATGGAAAGCTTGCCAGAAAGTGAAAGGTTTGAGCGGTTGCATGAGAGGAATCCCTGGAAGTGTCAGGGTTTTCTCTTGATGCATCATAAGGTAAAGGATATTTGTAAGGACCCGACTTGATCTTGGGTGTGTGTGTATACCTGCACCTCTTTTTTACGTTCTTTTTATTTTGCCCTGGATCATTTACTACCAACCTATTTTATTTTCAAGCCCCTTTTTAGTCTACCACAACCATATGCTGTATATACTTGGAGCCAGCTTGAAGAAGGGTGAACGTAATTGCAGAATGACTGCCAGGTCAGGAATGGGGGTAAAAAACAGGCCACTTAAATATATAATTTCTGCACAAAGAAGATTTTCCTAGAAATAAATTGGCATCTTCCAAGACAACCCTTAAGTTTTTGTCTGTTCTGTTTTCCCACAGAGCCCCACCATCCCCTTTTTGAGTTGGCCTATTTAAGAAGGGCAGAAATCTCTTAGGCTTTGTGACCTGTCATTTCCTGGGCACAGAGGCTTTACATAGAAGCACTGATTGAGTCATGGAGGACTGAGCACTATCTCTGCCTCACTTCCTCTAGAATTCCCTAAAGCATCACAAAGCTTGATTAGTCCAGACACTGAAGCCTATTGGGGAATGAGTTAATTTTTACCTCTTGAGTTTTGCTAGAGAGCAGTAGAAGATGTCTAAATTAATCATTTTTTTAAAATTATAAAATAATACATACTTATAGATTTAAAAATACAGATATTCATAAAGAAAAAGTAAAATCTCCCCTAAGTTAGCCACTGTTAACAGTTTAGTATGTAACCTTCTAGACATTTTTCTATGTAGTACCTTTTCAAAATTCTTTTACAAAATTATACCCATGGTTTTACAATTGCTTTTTCCTTTATGTGGAATATCTTAGATATTCTTCTGTGTCAAAAATATAGACTTGATTCTGTTTAATGAGATGCCTCATTTTATTCAAAACATTTGTCAGACATCTTCTTTTCTTCCAGACCCAGAGGTTCTTAAACTTCAGTGTACATGAAAATCACCCAGAAGACGTATTAAAATATAGAGTGCTGTGCCCACCTCCAGAGTTTTTTATTCAATTGGCCTGGGGTGGCTAGACAATGTTCATTTCTATGAAATTATCAGGTGATGCTGATGTTGCTGTTTCAAGTACCACACTTTGAGAACCTCTGTGCTGTACCTTAGCTGTTTTCCTCTATGTTTGCTAATGATTTTTTTTCACTTCTTTGAACAAGTAGAAGAGCCCCTAGAAATAAGTCCAGGTGATTTCAACTTTGGAAAAAAGGTAGATAAAAATCTAGGCTTATGAAACAAGTTGAGCAGAGGTAGGAAAGGAGTAGGGAGGGGAAAAAGAGGTGGGTTAGGAAGTCAGCTTAGGCTAAAAGGACGGGACTGCTTTACACTGTCACTTCCAACAGAGAATTAGCAAAGCCAAAAAGAGGGAAAGGGATCCTGGTCGGGATTTAGGAGGATGATCAAAGCTCCCTGCCATGGTTGAGGTGTAGGCTGAGTTCTAAAACCAGAGGAAAATCAGGAACAACCAGCCATTATGGGTGAGCCTTAGGAGAGGAATCAGAGCCAGTGATGGTTAAGAAATAGGGTACAAGACCGAATGAAGTTTTGTGCATGGATGTTGCTGTGGTGAGCCCTGTTTTAAAGGGTACATACCTCTGGGCATCTAGAACCCTCTATATCGTGGAAGAAGATTACTTTTAATAACAAACAATCTTTAGTTTGTCAAAACGATTAGTAGGAAATGGTCTTTTACATAATACGCTGTCCTAATGTGTTTGACTTGGTTTAGTTTGCAAACTTTTTTTTCTCCAGCCAAACTTTTCTGAAACACCTATTGCACAAGCAGGATTCTTATCTGTAGATTGAGTACATTTATGGTAGGCTTTAGGGAAATTTTAAAATGTAATCAGTCAGGGGTATGTGTGTATATGTGTGTCTGTACTTGGATTTTTAAGAAATTTAGAGCTTTTTTATTTCTTTATCTTCACAGCTTTCCTTTGTAGTGACTATGCAGTTATCTTTCACAGTTTACTCAGAGGTAACCTAGGCTTGGAAAACACGTTGATTCCCTTTCCTCCCTTCCCCCTGCCCAGTCCTCAGAAAGCATTGAACCAAAAGTACAACATGCTAAGCTCAATCAAACTAACCTCTTATTATGTAGTTAATAACAGCCACTTTCTCTCTATTATGTATTGATTGCTTTTCTTTCCCTCTGATATGCACTGTTCATTGTTTCCTGTAACTGGTGTGCTTGAAGCAAACAGTTAGCACAGTTGTGTGTCTTGAATTCATACTAATCTTATATTCTCAAAAAGAAGCATCTTAAAACTTGAGCCAAGTGGCTCACATTGTTCTGTGTGACTGGAGTGGGATTAAACATGGGATCTGATCATACCCAAGGCTTCCTGAAACAGCAGTTTTTTTTTCCTTTTGTTTCCTCTAGCCTCTAGAGGTATTCTTACTGAAGTGTGAAACCAAAAAATTATCTAGCAGCATGAAATTAGTTAAATAAACCCAAGAATGGTTTTCTTTTTTTATTTCAGCATTTATGTAGCATTTTATAATTGCAAAAGAACTCTGCAATCATTTGTCATAGCTGATATCATTGGCATGGAACACAGCCTAGTCCTTCACTCTTCTGTGATAATCAGATTCTTGTCAAAAAATACAAATTTTAAATGTACAGGTAGTGATGAATATAAGCAAAACCTAATTTGAAATTCTTATTATTGTGTCCTATTGTGTCCCATTATTCACAAGGATCAAGCCAGGCATCATCTTGATCCTTGCCCTGTGCCAAAAAAGAAGTATTCACTGGGGCACTGTTTATTCAACCAGCTGAAGCAGAGAATTGAGATGCCTCAGCTATCAAGTTGTTACATATAGAAGTGTTCCTGTGGTTGATGAGTTACTAGAATTATTGACCCATTTCTGGACTTTTCATTTAAAAAGTTGTAAGTAGGGAATTTTGGAGATCATGAGTTATATTTATTTTATCCCTGTATCTTCAGCCCTTATTAGCATGGAACCTGGCACATAGTAATTGATATGTATTATCTATTACAGCAACCTATAAAAGTAAGTATTTGTCTTGTTTTATGGATGAGCATTCTGAGACTTCAAGGGGTTAAATAGCTTGCTAGTAAGTGGTGGGACCAGGGCTTAACTCGAGATTTGTCTCACTTCATGTTCTTCACCCATACACTGTTATTGAATTCATGGGTAAATAGATGTATATATAGCCTGGCATCCCTAGCAATGTGACCCTTAACTGATTATTTTTTTAATCACACTCTTCTTCTACCTCCCTTTACTGGGATCCTGTGCCATAGCACAGTCCCCCACAGCTCCAGAGAACCAGGACTGGAGAATGGCCTTTTCCAACAGAAAATGTGGGGAGATGGCAAAAAAGCCATAACCCTCAGAGCATTTAGCCCTCGCTAAATGAAGAACTGAGGCAAGTGCTTCCACAGTTTGACCCGATTAGTGAAGGACACTAAATGGGAAAAATACCTGTGCTCCCTCAGTCTTGCTCTAGGAAGAAGTAAATGTGGCCCCTTTTTATCCTCTCTAGACACTTGGGCAGGAGAAAAAGGAGAAACAAGCTCTTTCCCTCCTTCACCATTCCCCTGGCTTTATCAAAACAAAACAGCTTACCCCTCTCATCCTCCCCTACCCAATTATAAAAGAAATACAGTTGCTCCTTGACTTACAATGGGATTACATCCCAATAAACCCATTATAAGTTGAAAATATTATGTCAAAAATGCATTTAGTACATCCAACCTACTGAACATCATAGCTTAGCCTACCTTAAACGTGTGCAGGACACTTACATTAGTCTATAGTTGGGCAAAATAATCTAACCAAAGCCTATTTCATAATAAAGTGTTGAATAGGCTTATTTATTTTATTTTCATTTATTTATTTATTTGTCTATTTTTGAGACAGAGTCTTGCTGTGTTGCCCAGGCTGGAGTGCAGTGGCATGATCTCGAGTTACTGTAAGCTCCACCTCCCAGGTTCACACCATTCTCCTGCCTCAGCCTCCCAAGTAGTTGGGACTATAGGCGCCCGCCACCATGCCCAGCTAATTTTTTTGTATTTTTAGTAGAGACGGGGTTTCACTGTGTTAGCCAGAATGGTCTCGATCTCCTGACCTCGTGATCCACCTGTCTTGGCCTCCCAAAGTGCTGGGATTACAGGCGTGAGCCACCATGCCTGGCTGAATAGGCTTACTTTTAAAGTAAAAAGCAGAATAGTTGTATAGGTACTTGAAGTAGTTTCTATTGAATGTGTAGCACGTTTGCACCATCATAAAGTAGAAAAACCGTAAGTCAAACCATTGTATGGGGACTATCTGTATATGTTTTCAGTAGAAAAATGTAGAAGACCCAAGTATAAAGAAGAAAGAAATAAAATCGCCCATTTTTTTTTTATCCTTGCAGTGGTTTGTAAACTTTGGGTACTTACTTTTTATAAAGAAATGCAGATTCTTGAGCCTCACTCAAAGCATCTGATTTTGTGGTTCTGATATATGCTTTTTAAATATGCAACCTGGATGATTCTCATGCACATGGTCATGTGCATTCTTTTGAGACCATACTTGGAGGTGAAAGACACCTATGGAAAAAACTGGGTAATATTATGGTTCTTTGTCTTTTGTGCATAAAATGGTATTATAGATTGAGTATCCCTTATCTGAAATGTTTGGAACCAGAAGTATTTTGAATTTTGGATTTTCAAATATTTGTGTTATGCTAGTTGAGCTTCCCTAATCTGAAAATCTGCAATCTGAAATGCTTCAGTGAGCGTTTCCTTTGTCAGTGCTCAAAGAATTTTGGAGTTTGGAGGATTTCAGATTTTGGAGTTTTGGATTTGGGACGTTTAACCTGGATTATATATTGTTAGAAGAAAAACTTCAGGGCCAGGTGCGGTGGCTCACGCCTGTAATCCCAACACTTTGGGAGGCCAAGGCAGGCGGATCATGAGGTCAGGAGATCGGGACCATCCTGGCAACACAGTGAAACCTCATCTCTACTAAAAATACAAAAAATTAGCCAGGCATGGTGGTGGGCGCCTGTAGTCCCAGCTCCTTGGGAGGCTGAGGCAGGAGAATGGTGTGAACCCAGGAGGCAGAGCTTGCAGTGAGCCGAGATCATGCCACTGCACTCCAGCCTGGGCGACAGAGCAAGATTCCGTCTCAAAAAAAAAAAAAGAAAAAGAAAAACTTTAGCCGAATTAAATTTTAGGGACTTTAATTGAGCAATGGACGATTCTTGAGTTGGGCAGCCCCCCAGAATCACAGCAGATTCAGAGAGACTCCAGGGGTGCCTCGTGGTCAGAACAAATTGGTAGACAATAAGTGACATAAAGAAATCAGAAGTGAGGTACAGAAATACTGGTTGAAGTATGGCTGCTGGGATTGGCCAAGACTCAGCGATTGTAACAGGCACATACTCCTAAGTTAGGTTTTCAATCTTGTCTACCTATTAAGTTAGGTTGTAGTTCATCCACAAAGACTCAAATATAGAAGTACGGAGTCCTTCTCAGGCCATATTTAGTTTGCTTTAACAATTCCCCCCTTTTGGTCATTTTCTCAATTTTGAGAGATTGACTAAAACTTTAGTCACTGATGTCAGTATTACCATCATAAATGTACTTCATTTGGTCTTGAAACCCACTGAGAAACAGTAGAACAGTGAGTCTTGCAAAGATAGGCACAGAGACTGAGTAGTGGGTACCTCTTTATGCTGGAGTATACTGTTTGCAGGAGAAAAACAAAACCCGGTCCTTTCTGTCTAGGATCTATGTTTCTTTAAAGTCTTAGTTTGATTGGGTCACATTTAGCATGAGCGACTCCATTTTTGTTTGGTTTGGTCTGTTGGGGCCTAGTACATGAGCTTAGTCCAAAACAATGGCCTCCCATAGTTTTGTTTTAAAAAATTTCCCCTTTTGACCAGGTTCTCACTTAGGTGAGTGTAACCAAAACTTAGAGCCTCAGCACCACCCTCAGTTACCATCATTTTGGGTTTCCAGTCTCAGCATGTCATTCATAGGTTATGGTGTCCTATAATATTTCTTTCAGCTCTTGTCATTCCAGTTGAAGAGAGACCATTTGACATTCTGGAGATGGCTGTATGCAAACATTTAAAACGTTGGAAAGAATAGAGTGCGCTAGGGAGACTATTATGACTATTGGGAGGATAATACCAAGAGTTTGGAGTATGCTCCTTACCCAGGGTCCCCATAAACCAAACCACCTAAAATCAAATAGATCAAAGAATGAGCTAACCAGTCTACTCACTTAACTAAGCAGTCTCTTCATTAATCCTCTAAAACTGAATCTCTACAATACCAGATTTTTTCTCCATAGGACACAACTGCCAACAGCTGCACATACACAGATACTTTTCTTTTAGCCAATTCTATTATTTAGCTTAACTTTCACAAGAGAATTTAAAGTCTGTTGTGTAACCATAGCCTTTACAGAAGAATCCGCTATAGAGCCGATTACGTGGGATACGTTTCTAATCATTGCCTTTTTTATTCCAAATCATGGACAAAGGACCTAACAAATGATGCCCTTCTAGAAGAGTGAAAGCTTCCTGGCAGTGTTCTCTTTAATTCATGATGTGAATTAAGAAGAGTGAATTAATGTTATGTTTCTGACTGATGATGAGGCAACGTATGTACCATTAAAGTTTCTCACCTACATTGGGCCTTCATCTTTTACCTTATAAAGTATAAGGTTATCCATGAATAAGGCTGGCTGCAAAATCCTTCACAAATAAAAGTATACCCTATAAGTGCACACAACAGACCCCCTTTTCATTTGTTTTGTTCATAGAAGCATAAACAAGAAAAAATATTCAAAGATAAGAGTCTTATGATAGTAGAAGTCTTGATCTGTGATCATGGGAAAAGCTGTTCACATCAAGGATGCCGTTTTCTGGGGAGAGACTTACCTGGTTAGCTTTACCCTAAGGGTTTCAATGAGTGCACATTTTTAAGAGTGAGGAGGGACCCTTCTCAGTTGTGAGATTATGAATCCAAAATTCAGGGTTCCAAAGTTTTGCTGCAATGTGGATGGCAAGGACAGTCTTTCTCTGATGTTCTTAGATGATCCGGTCTTTGGGTTCTAGATTGTGAAGGGGTTGACTGTCCTCAGTGAACCATAAAAAAGCTTCCTGGTGAAAATACACTGTAGCATAATAACTTAGTGTTATAACATTAGTCCTCTTGCATGGGGAGAGCTTTTATGCAACCAGAAAACATGCATTGAAAATAACAGTTGAATGAAATCTTTTTATAAAATGTTTAAATGGCCCATCAGGTGACCAGATGTACCTGAAGCTTTGATTGTTTTCCTAGGAATATAGGACCAAACATTGTTTATAAACTATTTTAGCAATTTGTAAGTCACCACACCAATATATTCAATTTGGATCATTTTTATCTTCTCTACGACGAGTCATGGAATGCTTTAAGGACTCAGGAAGGACAAGGTGCCCATCCTCGTTCTCCATGAGTCCATGCTTAATTAACATTAGACTTATGTCCTCTTGAATACCAGTAGTTTCTTCAAACTATGTGAATAGCACTAATAACTGATGGGTTATCTTGGGTAATTTGACTTAGACCTTAGAGTTCATTCATATTGTGTATCTAAACAATTTCAGTATTAGCTGATTTTGCATTAAAATCTGGCAATTTTCTTGATATTTAATTAATTTTTGTTCTGCTTGGGTTAGCAGTTTTATAAACCAGTCCGTCTTTTCATTGAAGTTCCAGGAATTCTTACCCAGTTCAAATGATATGATTCTGAAGTTATTAGAAACCTGTATTTAAGAGTGCTTTTTAGGATCCTTTTCATCCTTTCCTGAACCTCCTAAAAGACACCATATTCTAGGATTTTGTGTGCTCATGAAGTTTTCAGAAACTGCATCAGCATTAAGCAATTAACTGTGGGAATGACTTTAAATCATTATAGATGAAAACACAATTGACAAGGAAATTTGGTTATTTCTGTGGTCTACAATAACTTAACATAATAACCACAGTTATGATTAATAGCATATACTCAGACATATTAGAATTATAGAGATCTCGTACAACTTTGTAACATATGTTAATATCACTCACTAAAATATAATCTGAAGAAGATTAAACTTTTTTTTTTTTTTTTGACAATGCTTCCCATGTAACATGTCAAATCTGTAATCTGTTTACCTCTCTTTTGGATGCTTTCGGGGCCCTCTGTAGCATTTCAGTGTTAGAGGAAAGAAAAGGCAATTTTGAAGCTGAAATTTGATTTTGGTACCCCATCAAATATGTTAAAGGTTTAAAACACTTGATACTATGAAATAGAATTCCAGGTTACCGTAAGTCATTCATTTAGCCAAAATGATGAGTCAAATTTTTTTTTTTTTTTTTTTTGAGACGGAGTCTCGAGATGCTCTGTCGCCCAGTCTGGAGTGCAGTGGTGCAATCTCAGCTCACTGCAAGCTCCGCCTCGGGTTCATGCCATTCTCCTGCCTCAGCCTCCTGAGTAGCTGGGACTACAGGTGCCCGCTACCATGCCCAGCTAATTTTTTTGTATTTTTAGTACAGACGGGGTTTCACCATGTTAGCCAGGATGGTCTCGATCTCCTGACCTCGTGATCCACCTGTCTCGGCCTCCCAAAGTGCTGGGAATACAGGCGTGAGCCGCCGCAAGCAGCCGTCAAAAATTTTTTAAAAGCTAAAACCTTTACTCACTGATAGAGTGAAGACTTAACTTTCCGAATCATCTGTCTCTTGTCTTTCCCCCAGCCCCTTTTTTGGTAGTTTATTTAAAGGCAAACAAAGGCCAAGCGCAGTGGCTCATGCCTCTAATCCCAGCACTTTGGGAGGCCGAGGCGGGTGGATCACGAGGTCAAGAGATCAAGATCATCCTGGCCAACGTGGTGAAACCCCATCTCTACTAAAAATACAAAAATTAGCTGGGCATCATGGTGCATGCCTGTAATCCCAGCTGCTTGGGAGGCTGAGGTAGGAGAATTGCTTGAACCCAGGAGGCGGAGGTTGCGGTGAGCCGAGATCATGCCATTGCACTCCAGCCTGAGCAACAAGAGTGAAACTCTGTCCAAAAAAAAAAACAACAATTAATTAATTAATTAATTAAATAAAAGGCAAACAAAAATGTTTCATTATCTTTTAATATTACATGAAAATCTTGTTCAAGAGAGAAAGCCAAATTTCACTGTTGTACTACTGTACTATTAATGTCAACCGCAATTTATAATAAAACCTTAAAGACAAATCTTTCCAATCTTAGTTTGACCATAAGGTGAGATTTTCATAAACCTTTTTTTTTTATTATACTTTAAATTTTAGGGTACATGTGCACAACGTGCAGGTTTGTTACATATGTATACATGTGCCATGTTGGTGTGCTGCACCCATTAACTCGTCATTTAGCATTAGGTATATCTCCTAATGCTATCCCTCCCCCTCCCCCCACCCCACAACAGGCCCCGGTGTGTGATGTTCCCCTTCCTGTGTGCATGTGTTCTAATTGTTGAGTTCCCACCTATGAGTGAGAACATGCAGTGTTTGGTTTTCTGTCCTTGTGATAGTTTGCTGAGAATGATGGTTTCCAGCTGCATCCATGTCCCTACAAAGGACATAAACTCATCCTTTTTTATGGCTGCATAGTATTCCATGGTGTATATGTGCCACGTTTTCTTTTTTTTTTTTAATTTTATTATACCTTTAAGTTTTAGGGTACATGTGCACAATGTGCAGGTTTGGTACATATGTATACATGTGCCACGTTGGTGTGCTGCACCCATTAACTGGTCATTTAGCATTAGGTATATCTCCTAATGCTATCCCTCCCCGCTCCCCACACCCCACAACAGTCCCCAGAGTGTGATGTTCCCCTTCCTGTGTCCATGTGTTCTCATTGTTCAATTCCCACCTATGAGTGAGAATATGCGGTGTTTGGTTTTTTGTCCTTGTGATAGTTTGTTGAGAATGATGGTTTCCAGTTGCATCCATGTCCCTACAAAGGACATGAACTCATCATTTTTTATGGCTGCATAGTATTCCATGGTGTATATGTGCCACATTTTCTTAATCCAGTCTATCGTTGTTGGACATTTGGATTGGTTCCAAGTCTTTGCTATTGTGAATAGTGCCGCAATAAACATACGTGTGCATGTGTCTTTATAGCAGCATGATTTATAGTCCTTTGGGTATATACCCAGTAATGGGATGGCTGGGTCAAATGGTATTTCTAGTTCTAGATCCCTGAGGAATCACCACACTGACTTCCACAGTGGTTGAACTAGTTTACACTCCCACCAACAGTGTAAAAGTGTTCCCATTTCTCCACATCCTCTCCAGCACCTGTTGTTTCCTGACTTTTTAATGATCGCCATTCTAACTGGATGTGCCACATTTTCTTAATCCAGTCTATCATTGTTGGACATTTGGGTTGGTTCCAAGTCTTTGCTATTGTGAATAGTGCCACAATAAACATACATGTGCATGTGTCTTTATAGCAGCATGATTTATAATCCTTTGGGTACATACCCAGTAATGGGATGGCTGGGTCAAATGGTATTTCTAGTTCTAGATCCCTGAGGAATCGCCACACTCACTGACTTCCATAATGGTTGAACTAGTTTACAGTCCCACCAACACTGTAAAAGTGTTCCTATTTCTCCACATCCTCTCCAGCACCTGTTGTTTCCTGACTTTTTAAATGATCGCCATTCTAACTGGTGTGAGATAGTATCTCATTGTGGTTTTGATTTGCATTTCTCTGATGGCCAGTGATGATGAGCATTTTTTCATGTGTCTTTTGGCTGCATGAATGTCTTCTTTTGAGAAGTGTCTGTTCATATCCTTTGCCCACTTTTTGATGGGGTTGTATTTTTCTTGTAAATTTGCTTGAGTTCATTGTAGATTCTGGATATTAGCCCTTTGTCAGATGAGTAGGTTGCAAAAATTTTCTCCCATTTTGTAGGTTGCCTGTTCACTCTGATGGTAGTTTCTTTTGCTGTGCAGAAGCTCTTTAGTTTAATTAGATCCCATTTGTCAATTTTGGCTTTTGTTGCCATTGCTTTTGGTGTTTTAGACGTGAAGTCCTTGCCCATGCCTGTGTCTTGAATGGTATTGCCTGGGTTTTCTAGGATTTTTATGGTTTTAGGTCTAACATGTAAGTCTTTAATCCATCTTGAATTAATTTTTGTATAAGGTGTAAGGAAGGGATCCAGTTTCAGCTTTCTACATATGGCTAGCCAGTTTTCCCAGCACCATTTATTAAATAGGGAATCCTTTCCCCATCTCTTGTTTTTGTCAGGTTTGTCAAAGATCAGATAGTTGTAGATTAGCGGCATTATTTCTGAGGGTTCTGTTCTGTTCCATTGGTCTGTATATCTGTTTTGGTACCAGTACCATGCTGTTTTGGTTACTGTAGCCTTGTAGTATAGTTTGAAGTCAGGTAGCGTGATGCCTCCAGCTTTGTTCTTTTGGCTTAGGATTGACTTGGCAATGGGCTTCATCCCTGGGATGCAAGTCTGGTTCAACATACGCAAATCAATAAACATAATCCAGCATATAAACAGAACCAAAGACAAAAATTACATGATTATCTCAATAGTTACAGAAAAGACCTTTGACAAAATTCAACAACCCTTCATGCTGAAAACTCTCAATAAATTAGGTATTGATGGGACGTATCTCAAAATAATAAGAGCCATCTATGACAAACCCACAGCCAATATCATACTGAATGGGCAAAAACTGGAAGCATTCCCTTTGAAAACTGGCACAAGACAGGGATGCCCTCTCTCACCACTCCTATTCAACATAGTGTTGAAAGTCCTGGCCAGGGCAATCAGGCAGGAGAAGGAAATAAAGGGTATTCAGTTAGGAAAAGAGGAAGTCAAATTGTCCCTGTTTGCAGATGACATGATTGTATATCTAGAAAATGCCGTCGTCTCAGCCCAAAATCTCCTTAAGCCCATAGGCAACTTCAGCAAAGTCTCAGGATACAAAATCAATGTGCAAAAATCACAAGCATTCTTATACACCAATAACAGACAAACAGCCAAATCATGAGTGAACTCCCATTCACAATTGCTTCAAAGAGACTAAAATATCTAGGAATCCAACTTACAAGGGACGTGAAGGAGCTCTTCAAGGAGAACTACAAACCACTGCTCAGTGAAATAAAAGAGGATACAAAGAAATGGAAGAACATTCCATGCTCATGGGTAGGAAGAATCAATATCGTGAAAATGGCCATACTGCCCAAGGTAATTTATAGATTCAATGCCATCCCCATGAAGCTACCAATGACTTTCTTCACAGAACTGGAAAAAACTACTTTAAAGTTCATACGGAACCAAAAAAGAGCCTGCATTGCCAAGTTTCATAAACCTTTTATAGCCCTTTACTAATTTTTGTTTAAGAGCAGATCAGTGCTTTAAGTGCTTAAGAAAACCCTGTTTGTGCTTTTATTTCTATGTTCAATTTACTGATAAACCAGCAAATACTGCTTTAAATTTAGTCAAGGTGTTCACACACAGAATTTTTTTTTACAAGATTAATTTTTACAAGCCTTCCACAACTTGTTCAAACCTTTAGCTTATTCTTATCTAATTTAAAACAATCCTTTAACCCTCCAAACAAGGCAAAAATTTACATTCCCATGCCTTGTAATCTTTTACCAAATGTACATTTCATTCTCCTCACACACCTTGCTTGTAAAACTATTTTTTCAGTAGTCTCAATCATATGTTATAATGGTGACTCTTAGCAACTTTTACTTTTGGTGCATACATTTCCTTTCATGAATCCTTTCACAACAACACAGACCATCTATGTCATGTGTGGATTTTCCAACTTATCCTAAACATCCCTCTCTTTAAACAACCAGTTATTTTACTTTAGGACAAGAATTACCCATAAAAAATCCTTTCTTATATAAAATCTCTTTTCTTTATAACCTTCTTTGCATAGCTAGGGGGCGTGGCTAATTCCATATGTCCCCGGGACTTATCTACAATATAATGCTCCAAAGTAGGTAAATTGAAGAATTTTTAAAAGCAGTTTTAATTTCCCAAAGATTACTAAAGTTATGGAACTACAACATTACTGTTTTTATTTTTCTGACAAAATATTTAAGGGCGTATTCTTAAAGTCAATTAATTAGAGCTGTTTTATATAAACATTACACACACGATACATGTATAACTACACAGAAGATTCAGTAGTTGTAAGATTTTTCATTTGCCAGTTTTGAATTTTTTTTTAATTGGATTACTGGGTTTAGGGTGGAGTCCTTGGAAGAACAGGGCCGGGAAAGCATGCAGTTTCTAAGGCCTAATATAATAAGCAGGCACAGCTGGAAGGCAAAACAAGTCCCCCAAAATTAAGGGTCCCATTTTTATACCAGATCCTGGATCCCAAAAGGAACAGAGCCTTAGATTTTGGGTAGATCTATCCATTTCCAATTCCTGGGGTTCCATGAGGAAAACAGGTCTGTTTTTTTTCCCCCCGAAACGGGGTCTTTTGCGCAGCCTGTTTTTCCCAAGGAGTCCCAGGCTGTTAGAGCTTGAATATCTGCTTGTAATTAAGCTGACGTTTAACTATAGTGCTCTTTAAAAAAAAAAAGTCCTTTTGAATATTACCCAACTTTGGCTAGGCCAAATGACCAATTTCTGTGCTCAGAAAAAGGAAAATTTAAGATAGTTAATGGAGGGAAAAAGAATCAACAAATGATAAAGGTCATGCAGATCTCAAACCAGAAAGTACTCATTCCCTAAGCTGGGAATTGAACCCTGAACCCAGGCTGCCATTGTGGAAAGAGAAACCACAGTCACGTGGTTACAAGGTCGAGCTCCCAAGGACATAACTGACCAGTTTTCTGGGCTGTCTTGAACAGCAGGCTTATGGGGTCCTAGGCACGCATTTTATCCTAAGGTACCCCTCTTTATGACAAAACAATACAGAAAGACGCAAAGCATACTGGATTCACTACAGCTTAAGACCAGCCTCAGAATTCTTTTTTTGTATTAACCCAAACTTTATAGAGGAGATAAACAGTGACTTTTACGATTCATTTAACCAGTTTGCACAGAGAGAGAGAGGCCAGAGTCTGACTGGTAAGTAGTTCTTACCATTTTGCTGGCAGGCCAGACTTCTGGGTTCCTTTTCCCAGAGAGGCCCTAGTGACCCTGCTTACTACACTATAACCCTGGGGGCCAAGCTGTATCATAAAGGAAAATCATCTTTTTTGTTTCATGGATCCATAGCAAAAGCCTCTCAATTTTGCAAGTTGCCACCCAAGGGGTTATATGGGGTAACCCAGTCAACATTTTTCATTCTGGCCAGAGGAATATACATGTGACTAAACCTAGAAATAAGCCACTCTGCTTAGCACTCAATATTGAACTGGCAGGACTCAAACTTGCCCTTGGTTGGACCCTGTCACCTTTATTCCATTTTTAACCAAGAAGGACTTTACTTCCCATGAGACCCTGGCTTTCTGCTGCACATTCAGAATCACTCGCCCACGCTCCGGGAGGGCAGCGAGGGTGTGGGCGGCCCGTGCGCATCCACCGTTCTTTGACCCTATCCCACGCCAGCTTGTGTGGCTGCGGAGTGGGCACATCCCTGGACTGAGAGTGCCTTGAGGAAAAGGGCTGCCCTCCTGTTTCTGCGATTAAGGATGCCTATGAACGGAATCTGCCGTATCAGTGGACATTTTTGTGTTTAAAAGGAGAACGCATCTTTATTGAGCGCCAGCTGTGACTCAAGCACTCACAGCAAATCCTGTGAAGTGATGTTACAGCAGATTCTAGGAAGTAAGACCCTCCCTAAGGCCTGGAACTTTCTGGTGTTGCCATGCATATTGTAGATGGCATGTGTGTGAAATTTTGCACATAGTTTGTGCGTGTGTGTATTTCATTCACAGTTTCTTGAAGCCTAGGCTAAAAAAATTTCATTAACAATCAAGTGTCATTAATAGACGATACAATAGTTCTTATAAAACATACACTGAAAGATGGCCGAATAGGAACAGCTCCAGTCTACAGCTCCCAGCGTGAGCAACGCAGAAGACGGGTGATTTCTGCATTTCCATCAGAAGTACCGGGTTCATCTCACTAGGGAGTGCCAGACAGTGGGCGCAGGACAGTGGGTGCAGCGCACCATGCACGAGCCGAAGCAGGGCGAGGCATTGCCTCACTTGGGAAGCGCAAGGGGTCAGGGAGTTCCCTTTCCTAGTCAAAGAAAGGGGTGACAGACAGCACCTGGAAAATCGGGTCACTCCCACCCTAATACCGCGCTTTTCCGACGGGCTTAAAAA
Source organism: Homo sapiens (assembly GCF_000001405.40). Classification (NCBI taxonomy): domain Eukaryota; kingdom Metazoa; phylum Chordata; class Mammalia; order Primates; family Hominidae; genus Homo; species Homo sapiens. The sequence goes on from NC_000011.10 coordinate 35,703,085, forward strand.
ACGGCGCACCAGGAGATTATATCCCGCACATGGCTCGGAGGGTCCTATGCCCACAGAGTCTCGCTGATTGCTAGCACAGCAGACTGAGATAAACCTGCAAGGCGGAAGCAAGGCTGAGGGAGGGGTGCCCGCCATTGCCCAGGCTTGGTTAGGTAAACAAAGCAGCCGGGAAGCTTGAACTGGGTGGAGCCCACCACAGCTCAAGGAGGCCTGCCTGCCTCTGTAGGCTCCACCTGTGGGGGCGGGGCACAGACAAACAAAAAGACAGCAGTAACCTCTGCAGACTTAAATATCCCTGTCTTTGACAGCTTTGAAGAGAGCAGTGGTTCTCTCAGCATGCAGCTGGAGATCTGAGAATGGGCAGACTGCCTCCTCAAGTGGGTCCCTGACCCCTGACCCCCGAGCAGCCTAACTGGGAGGCACCCCCCAGTAGGGGTAGACTGACACCTCACACGGCCGGGTACTCCCCTGAGACAAAACTTCCAGAGGAACGATCAGACGGCAGCATTCGCGGTTCACAAAAATCCGCTGTTCTGCAGCCACCGCTGCTGGTACCCAGGCAAACAGGATCTGGAGTGGACCTCTAGCAAACTCCAACAGACCTGCAGCTGAGGGTCCTGTCTGATAGAAGGAAAACTAACAAACAGAAAGGACATCCACACCAAAAACCCATCTGTACATCACCATCATCAAAGACCAAAAGTAGATAAAACCACAAAGATGGGAAAAAAACAGCAGAAAAACTGGAAACTCTAAAAAGTAGAGTGCCTCTCCTTCTCCAAAGGAACACAGCTCCTCACCAGCAACGGAACAAAGCTGGATGGAGAATGACTTTGACGAGTTGAGAGAAGAAGGCTTCAGACGATCAAACTACTCCGAGCTACAGGAGGAAATTCAAACCAAAGGCAAAGAAGTTGAAAACTTTGAAAAAAATTTAGACGAATGTATAACTAGAATAACCAATACAGAGAAGTGCTTAAAGGAGCTGATGGAGCTGAAAGCCAAGGCTCGAGAACTACGTGAAGAATGCAGAAGCCTCAGGAGCCGATGCGATCAACTGAAAGAAAGGGTATCAGTGATGGAAGATGAAATGAAGGAAATGAAGCAAGAAGGGAAGTTTAGAGAAAAAAGAATAAAAAGGAACGAACAAAGCCTCCATGAAATATGGGACTATGTGAAAAGACCAAATCTACGTCTGATTGGTGTACCTGAAAGTGATGGGGAGAATGGAACCAAGTTGGAAAACACTCTGCAGGATATTATCCAGGAGAAACTTCCCCAATCTAGCAAGGCAGGCCAACATTCAGATTCAGGAAATACAGGGAACGCCACAAAGATACTCCTCGAGAAGAGCAACTCCAAGACACATAATTGTCAGATTCACCAAAGTTGAAATGAAGGACAAAATGTTAAGGGCAGCCAGAGAGAAAGGTCGGGTTACCCACAAAGGGAAGCCCATCAGACTAACAGCGGATCTCTCGGCAGAAACTCTACAAGCCAGAAGAGAGTGGGGGCCAATATTCAACATTCTTAAAGAAAAGAATTTTCAATCCAGAATTACATATCCAGCCAAACTAAACTTCATAAGCGAAGGAGAAATAAAATACTTTACAGACAAGCAAATGCTGAGAGATTTTGTCACCACCAGGCCTGCCTTACAAGAGCTCCTGAAGGAAGCACTAAACATGCAAAGGAACAACCGGTACCAGCCACTGCAAAATCATGCCAAGTTGTAAAGACCATCGATGCTCGGAAGAAACTGCATCAACTAATGAGCAAAATAACCAGCTAACATCATAATGACAGGATCAAATTCACACATAACAATATTAACTTTAAATGTAAATGGACTAAATGCTCCAATTAAAAGACACAGACTGGCAAATTGGATAAAGAGTCAAGACCCATCAGTGTGCTGTATTCAGGAAACCCATCTCACGTGCAGAGACACACATAGGCTCAAAATAAAAGGATGGAGGAAGATCTACCAAGCCAATGGAAAACAAAAAAAGGCAGGGGTTGCAATCCTAGTCTCTGATAAAACAGACTTTAAACCAACAAAGATCAAAAGAGACAAAGAAGGCCATTACATAATGGTAAAGGGATCAATTCAACAAGAAGAGCTAACTATCCTAAATATATATGCACCCAATACAGGAGCACCCAGATTCATAAAGCAAGTCCTGAGTGATCTACGAAGAGACTTAGATTCCCACACAATAATAATGGGAGACTTTAACACCCCACTGTCAACATTAGACAGATCAACGAGACAGAAAGTTAGCAAGGATACCCAGGAATTGAACTCAGCTCTGCACCAAGTGGACCTAATAGACATCTACAGAATTCTCCACCCCAAATCAACAGAATATACATTCTTTTCAGCACCACACCACACCTATTCCAAAATTGACCACATAGTGGGAAGTAAAGCTCTCCTCAGCAAATGTAAAAGATCAGAAATTATAGCAAACTGTCTCTCAGACCACAGTGCAATCAAACTAGAACTCAGGATTAAGAAACTCACTCAAAACTGCTCAACTACATGGAAACTGAACAACCTGCTCCTGAATGACTACTGGGTACATAACAAAATGAAGGCAGAAATAAAGATGTTCTTTGAAACCAACGAGAACAAAGACACAACATACCAGAATCTCTGGGACACATTCAAAGCAGTGTGTAGAGGGAAATTTATAGCACTAAATGCCCACAAGAGAAAGCAGGAAAGATCCAAAATTGATACCCTAACATCACAATTAAAAGAACTAGAAAAGCAAGAGCAAACACATTCAAAAGCTAGCAGAGGCAAGAAATAACTAAAATCAGAGCAGAACTGAAGGAAACAGAGACACAAAAAAACCTTCAAAAAATTAATGAATCCAGGAGCTGGTTTTTTGAAGGGATCAACAAAATTGATAGACTGCTAGCAAGACTAATAAAGAAGAAAAGAGAGAAGAATCAAATAGACACAATAAAAAATGATAAAGGGGATATCACCACCGATCCCACAGAAATGCAAACTATCATCAGAGAATACTACAAACACCTCTACGCAAATAAATTAGAAAATCTAGAAGAAATGGATAAATTCCTTGACACATGCACCCTCCCAAGACTAAACCAGGAAGAAGTTGAATCTCTGAATAGACCAATAACAGGCTCTGAAATTGTGGCAACAATCAATAGCTTACCAACCAAAAAGAGTCCAGGACCAGATGGATTCACAGCCGAATTCTACCAGAGGTACAAGGAGTAAATGGTACCGTTCCTTCTGAAACTATTCCAATCAATAGAAAAAGAGGGAATCCTCCCTAACTCATTTTATGAGGCCAGCATCATCCTGATACCAAAACCGGGCAGAGATACAACCAAAAAAAAGAATTTTAGACCAATATCCTTGATGAACATCGATGCAAAAATCCTCAATAAAATACTGGCAAACCGAATCCAGCAGCACATCAAAAAGCTTATCCATCATGATCGAGTGGGCTTCATCCCTGGGAAGCAAGGCTGGTTCAATATACGCAAATCAATAAATGTAATCTAGCATATAAACAGAACCAAAGACAAAAACCACATGATTATCTCAATAGATGCAGAAAAGGCCTTTGACAAAATTCAACAACCCTTCATGCTAAAAACTCTCAATAAATTAGGTATTGATGGGACATATCTCAAAATAATAAGAGCTATCTTTGACAAACCCACAGCCAATATCATACTGAATGGGCAAAAACTGGAAGCATTCCCTTTGAAAACTGGCACAAGACAGGGATGCCCTCTCTCACCACTCCTATTCAACATAGTGTTGGAAGTTCTGGCCAGGGCAATTAGGCAGGAGAAGGAAATAAAGGGTATTCAATTAGGAAAAGAGGAAGTCAAATTGTCCCTGTTTGCAGATGACATGATTGTATATCTAGAAAACCCCATTGTTTCAGCCCAAAATCTCCTTAAGCTGATAAGCAACTTCAGCAAATTCTCAGGATACAAAATCAATGTACAAAAATCACACGCATTCTTATACACCAATAACAGACAAACAGAGAGCCAAATCATGAGTGAACTCCCATTCACAATTGCTTCAAAGAGAATACAATACCTAGGAATCCAACTTACAAGGGACGTGAAGGACCTCTTCAAGGAGAACTACAAACCACTGCTCAATGAAACAAAAGAGGATACGAAGAAATGGAAGAACATTCCATGCTCATGGGTAGGAAGAATCAATATCGTGAAAATGGCCATACTGCCCAAGGTAATTTATAGATTCAATGCCATCCCCATGAAGCTACCAATGACTTTCTTCACAGAATTGGAAAAAACTACTTTAAAGTTCATATGGAACCAAAAAAGAGCCCGCATCACCAAGTCAATTGTAAGCCAAAAGGAAAAGCTGGAGGTGTCATGCTACCTGACTTCAAACTATACTACAAGGCTACAGTAACCAAAACAGCATGGTACTGGTACCAAAACAGAGATATAGATCATTGGAACAGAAAAGAGCCCTCAGAAATAACGCCGCATATCTACAACTATCTGTTCTTTGACAAACCTGACAAAAACAAGAGATGGGGAAAGGATTCCCTATTTAATAAATGGTGCTGGGAAAACTGGCTAGCCATATGTAGAAAGCTGAAACTGGATCCCTTCCTTACACCTTATACAAAAATTAATTCAAGATGGATTAAAGACTTACATGTTAGACCTAAAACCATAAAAATCCTAGAAAACCCAGGCAATACCATTCAAGACACAGGCATGGGCAAGGACTTCACGTCTAAAACACCAAAAGCAATGGCAACAAAAGCCAAAATTGACAAATGGGATCTAATTAAACTAAAGAGCTTCTGCACAGCAAAAGAAACTACCATCAGAGTGAACAGGCAACCTACAAAATGGGAGAAAATTTTTGCAACCTACTCATCTGACAAAGGGCTAATATCCAGAATCTACAATGAACTCAAGCAAATTTACAAGAAAAATACAACCCCATCAAAAAGTGGGCAAAGGATATGAACAGACACTTCTCAAAAGAAGACATTCATGCAGCCAAAAGACACATGAAAAAATGCTCATCATCACTGGCCATCAGAGAAATGCAAATCAAAACCACAATGAGATACCATCTCACACCAGTTAGAATGGCGATCATTTAAAAAGTCAGGAAACAACAGGTGCTGGAGAGGATGTGGAGAAATAGGAACACTTTTACAGTGTTGGTGGGACTGTAAACTAGTTCAACCATTATGGAAGTCAGTGAGTGTGGCGATTCCTCAGGGATCTAGAACTAGAAATACCATTTGACCCAGCCATCCCATTACTGGGTATGTACCCAAAGGATTATAAATCATGCTGCTATAAAGACACATGCACATGTATGTTTATTGTGGCACTATTCACAATAGCAAAGACTTGGAACCAACCCAAATGTCCAACAATGATAGACTGGATTAAGAAAATGTGGCACATATACACCATGGAATACTATGCAGCCATAAAAATGAAGAGTTCATGTCCTTTGTAGGGACATGGATGAAATTGGAAATCATCATTCTCAGTAAACTATCGTAAGAACAAAAAACCAAACACTGCATATTCTCACTCACAGGTGGGAATTGAACAATGAGAACACATGGACGCAGGAAGGGGAACATCACACTCTGGGGACTGTTGTGGGGTGTGGGGAGGAGGGAGGGAGAGCATTAGGGGATATACCTAATGCTAAATGACTAGTTAATGGGTGCAGCACACCAGCATGGCACATGTATACAACTGTAACTAACCTGCACATTGTGCACATGTACCCTAAAACTTAAAATATAATAATAATAAAAAATAAATAAAAAATGAAAACACATTAAAATAAATAAATAAACATGCACTGATGTTGCCATGCCCCCCCCCCAAAAAAAAAGAACTTTACTGAGAGGAGGACCTCTACCCCAATCCCTTCCTTTACTCAGGTAAAACGTACCCCATTACTTATCCAAAGTCAGCCAATTGGTGCTGCAGTTTATTTCCTTTGGATGGGGATAGTAACTAAGCTGAAAGATTAGCAGATTTAATTTTTGGAGGCTCTCATTTGTAAATGCACTTCAGTGCATTGTTGTTTATTCAGAACATTCTACTGTAAGTTACCTTTAGTAAGATTTTGTCATTTTCTGTGAGACTTTGCTGCCTCCTGTGCCTAATGCATAAGCCAGAAGGAACTCAGGTTTTCAGAAGTTATGTATCCCATTTTTACATAAAATATTGGCTTTGCTCTCAGATTCCCTTGATTAACCTAGCCAATGATTTTTCCTACCTAAGTGGGCAAGAAAAATGAAACAAAGGGATGAAACAAAAAAATCCTTGCAAATCTTTAAGAGCTAAATTTTATACCCCTAAAATATTACCATTTGCTGTCAGTTTCTTTCTGACCCAGTCAGATGTAAGAGGCCTCTAACTGGATCCAAGCCAATTAATTACCAGACCAAATCCATTCCTGGACCCAGCCCAGTTTCCGTCATGACTTCCAAACCCAGTTTGGTTCAGAAATTTGCTCAAAGAAACTCGGAGAGCTCAAAATGCAAATCCGTGGGGCTCCAAAATCCAAGAGACAACTTACACTCCCCAGCTACTCTGAGAGATCAGAGGACACAAGTGGATCCTGTGGGCACCTTACTTGTTCACTCAGCACTCCTGGGGGTCGTTAGAAGCTATACTTCAGACCCCACTTCTGACACCATTTGTTTAAACAAAAACGTCAGCTGAATTAAATTTAAAGGAGTCTAATTGAAAAATGAACAATTTGTGAATCGGGCAGCCCCCAGAATCACAGCAGATTCAGAGAGACTCCAGGGATGCCTTGTGGTCAGAACAAATTTATAGACCAAAAAAAAGTAAAATGACATACAGAAATTGGAAGTGAGGTACAGAAACAGCTGGATTCATTACAGTTCAGCAGTTGCCTTATTTGCACACAGTTTGAACCCTCAGCAGTGTGTGACTGGATGAAATATGGCTGCTGGGATTGGCGAAGACTCAGTGATTGTTACAGGCGCATACTCCTAAATTAAGTTTTCAATCTTGTCTATTAAGTTAGGTTACAGTTCATCCACAAGGACTCAAATATAGAATTACAGAGTCCTTTTCAGGCCATATTTAGTTTGCTTTATATATATATAGAGAGAGAGCTTTGTATCCTACCTTTTTCACCTAAGGTTATCTCTTATAAATGGATACAATTTTATCATTTGAATCCTGTTCCATTGTTGAACCTCAATTTAGAAAACTGGGATTCTGAACAATAATTTTCCTGTCTACCCTTCAGCATTCTTAGTTGAGACAAACCCTTTTAACAAAGACAGATTATCAAGAGAAAAACAAGTTTATTAACATATATACCTCGTGTGTGCATGTGATACCTAAGGGAAGATAAGTAAATCCCAAAGAGGTAGCTTTGAGTTCAGGCATGAATACCATGGAAGGGAAGGCTAGTTATGGGGAGATGCCCAGGAAAAGCATAGTAAACAAAGGTAAAGTTTATTATGCAGATTTAAGTTGGTGCCTTCTCCATTTATAACATAAAAGAGTTTCTAGTGATTGGAAGTCATCCTTCTCTTCCTGGTATAGAGAGGGAGACAACCCTGCAAATGGAGATTTCCTTTACAGATGTACATTTCTCTTACAAAAGGGTAACTTCCCTTGTTTTCAGTACTTCTCCTGTATTTGCAGTTTCTCCAAATAATCAGCTCAAAACAATTCTTCTGCCAAAGAGGCGTATTTTGGGATGGAATATTCTGGCCTCCTACAGTCATATTTTGGGATAGCATATCTTGAACCCCATCAGTAGTTACTGACAGAAGTTATTCACAAAAGACCAAATATATGATTCTATCTATATGAAATGTTCAGAATAGGCAAATATATAGAGATAGAAAGAGACTCAATACTGTATGGGACTGAGGGAGGTGGAGGAATGTGGGGTGACTGCTAATAGCAATGGGGTTTCTTTTGGGGGTGATGAAAATGTTTTAAAACCAATGGTAATGATAGTTGCACAACTCTGGGAATATACTACAAACCACAAAATTGTATACTTTAAATGGGTAAATTGTAAAATATGTGAATTATATCTCAATAAAACTGTTGAAAGAGAACAAGATTACTGCCTGAATCAGTTTTTTCAACCATTCACTTGAAGTGTCAGCAGTGAATATTAATTTTCTTTTTCCTTTTCTCTTCCTGACAGGGATGAGGGTTAAAAACCTGATGTTGGCCTCTGACAGGAGGAGGCAGTATACTACAATTATTAAAAGTTCAGGAATTGCCCTATCAGCTCAATGCTATCTGACCTTGGGCAAATCTGTGCTTAATCTCTTCATTTCTCAGATTTTTTGTTTTTTTTTTTTTCAGTTCCAAAATAGGGAATAATAGTACATATTTCATAGGTTGTTGGGAAAATAAGTGAGATAATCCTTTTAAAGTGTTGAGTACATTAAGGAGACCCCCCATCTCTACTAAAAATTAAAAAAAAATTAGCCAGGCATAGAGGCACATGCCTATTGTCCCAGCTACTTGGGAGACTGAGGTGGGAGGATCTCTTGACCCCAGGAGATCGAGGCTGCAGTGAGCCATGGCTGTACCACTGCACTCCAGCCTGGGCAACATAGTGAGATCCTGTTTCAAAAAAAGTGCAGAGTACAGCCTCCTATAAATTGTGGCTGCTGTTAGCCTCCAGTCCGGAGAATAACCCTTACTTCCAGCAGAAGGGCAAGGGTACGTGAGGGCACCTTCCTCCCCACAAAGTTCCAGAAACCTTCCAAGCCTTGTAGAGAAAAATAAGCCACCTGTTTATAAATAATTCTATGCTTTGATCAATTAACACTTCCTAGGAATAATGACACCAATTGCATGTTTTAAAGGGCCATTGATACCTGTTTGAGTGATAATGACTTGCAAATAAATTGAGTTCAGTCTCCACTTTTGGGATCCCTTGGTGTGTGGTTTGTTGGCTCACTCACTCTGTGAGTGAACTTGCCTGGCTGCAGAGTAACTGGCAGTAGTTCAGCATAGGTCTGTTGCCTGTTCAAGTCAAAGCAAATGTATCTGCCTTGGGAGTGTGTAGTTGTGTGTCCATATATTCCCAATAGAAAGAAGAAATCAATGCATTGAAGCAAGTATGTTTATTGTTATGAAGCAGACTCCCTAGTTAGCAGAACTGCTTGGTGCCCAACTATAAGAAAAATAAAGAAGTTATTTTAGGAATAACTTTACTTAAAGTTATTTAAGAAACACATTAGGAAATATATTCCCACTTTAAAGTAAACGCTACTGAGATTCTTCACTCCCTACCTCCTCTTCTCCCTTCCCCTGCAGCTTTACCTTATCCTTCTCTTTCTTACTGGAGCCCCAGACCTCCTAATTGAACCACAGCACCAATAGATTATAGTCATTTAAAAACTAAGGTGGGCATGGTTTCCAAGCTGCCTGGTGGACTGGAGCATTGTTACAAAGCAGAGGGATTGAGCTTTAAATGGCTTAATAAAATTAACACTTTGTGATGTCTTCTTCCTCCTGCTCCAGCTCCTCTCTGCACTGACAGGAGACTTGATAGTATACTCTTTGCCAAAAGCTTGAAGGGCTGATTACACAGCGAACCTGGAGAGAGGAGTGAAGCTGTCAGGACTCCCCCATAGCAGCCACGCTTCAGGTTTCCAGTGCAGGATTGTATTTGACAGTTAATTTAGGAGCCGGGGTACCTAGATATAAAACTTTATTGTGATAATAGTGATAAAATCACCCAGACTTTTATTTAAGGGCCTGCTGCTCTCCTGTCCCCCTCCTTCCTCTTTCCCTGTTAGTTCAAGCTCTCATTCAGTTAAAGAAATAAAATCAGATTTGCTCAGGGAAAAAGGTGTTTTCTTTGATATTCTTAGACCAAACCTGCAGAATGCAACTCTCGGTCTACCTCAGATCTATATGTAGATGCTTATACATATATATAAATATAAAATTTGAGAACAGTGCCTCTCTCCTGATTGACTGCATTTAGCCAAAGGGCAGAATTTATCAGGTCTTTACACCTACGAAGAGACATTTCATTCAACCCAGTGATTCAGCTGATGTTCATCCCCTTGTTTAATGACTTTTGTTTACCTCTGCAGCAGGCAAAATAGATTCTACCATGTCTCCCTACTTCCTAACTCAGCCCATTTATTTAGACATTATGATCCCCTTTTATAAATGAAGAAACAAAGATTTAAGAGGTTAAGTGACTTGTTCACGAGGCTAAAGATGCTAGTAAGTTGCCTTTCTATGACTTCTATATAGAAGTTATTAACTTTTGCCTATAGAAGATGTATTGAGAATGGTATTCCAATGTAGTATTTGTTCAGACTTAAGGGTAAAAGTTTACATTGAATATGACATGCTTTTTTTTTTTTTTTGGTGAAAGAGCACAAATATTGGAGTCAGATGACATGAGTCCATATATTTCAGTTTTATCTATAAAGGAGGACTAATCATACTATATTTTTATTAATGAAGATCCTGAAAATGAAAACTTGTGAGGAGATAAGAAACAGTGGAAGATGATTTTGGGGACTTAAATGTATGTTAGCAACTGTAGTTAGTTTAAGAGCACTGTGGTTCTTGGGTAAGCAGGTTGTTAGCTCCTTAAGGGAGTAGAGTAGGGTTTCAGTCTACAAAGAAGAGAAAATACCATGAGAGGCAAGTTGTGAGATTGAGGAGCCAACTACGCCCATAGACTGACTTTGTGTAGGTACAGAGGAACAGAATGTGACCCATCCTTCCTGTGCTTTCTGTACTTTGCTTCTGTATCATTGAAGTAGACTGACCCTGAGATGTTGGGCAGTCAGATCTGATCAAATCAGAAAAGGCAGCCATTGCTCCTTGACACCTTGTGGCCATTTATTTGAAACTGAGGCAAGGAGCCTCAGTATTGATATCTTTACTTTTCAATGCCTAGGATGAGTAGGAAAGTCTTTTAGATGTTCCCTTGGGAAATTAGATCTAAACTCCCAAGGGCATAGGCTCCCTCTTTTCTTTAGGAAAGCTTATTGGGGACTCTTCTTCTGTGAGAGCTCAGTAGATACCATATGGGAGGCACACAATAAAAGTTCACAGTTACTATTATCTCTAATGAGCAGAATGGTTCTGCTGATGGTTCTGTGTGCCCGGAGAGCCCTAAGTGCTTTCCATGTATTATTTTGTGTTAAGTTTAGAAAAATATCTATGAGAATGTTATTATTACCCTCATTTTACAAAGAAACTTTTTATGGAGAAATTTTCACCTTTCTGAGCTTCAGAAGCATGGAGTTAGCAGAACCAGTCCTCAAACCCCTTTCTCTACTCTATCAAAGTCCATATGCTGTACCGTTGTGACCCTATGTAGGAAAGAAGACTCAGCAAACATGAGAGCTACGTCTCAGTGCCCTTTCCTGAGTATTTGTGGCAGTATGCAGTTGTTTTGGTGTTGTGTTTTAATAAAATACAAATAACTGTGGCTTTATAGGGAAACTGCTTGAGAGAACTGGAATGGAGATTGAGTCTTATTTTAAAATTGCTTTAATCTTCAGATAAAATAGGCTTTCTTTGTATATTCAAGTCTAACTTATTTTAAGTCAAGACTTAAAAATAGTATAAATTCTGTATAGTTGCCCCTCAAACTTTCAGTGTCACTTTCCACCTCCCACTTCTACACGATAGTTCCCGAAGCAGAAGTTGTCTTTCTAGTTTATGCATAGGCTAAGGTGTTAAGAAAGCAGGAAAACAAGATGGAATAGAAGCTCTCACCCTTATTCTTGGTTGTTACAAGTCCTGGGTGTCTCTGGGGACACATTCTTCTAGTTTCATATTCCTATAGCAGGGGCCACCCAGAATTTTTTTGTTTGCTCAGAAGTTTGTGATTGCTTTCTTTATTGCCACCCTGGGGTCAGGCAAAGAGAAGCAACTTAAGAGCAAGCATTAGTATTGAGTCATAGTGAACCCAGCATCCCCAGTGAACTGCTTTCTGTTGCATCCAATTCAGTGTCATGTCACTGGGTTACACATCAAGTTGTCATGGCAATAAAGTTATAGCAGCTGACAGTGTGAACAAGCAGCCCTGGGAGGAGAGGATGCTTGGCGGCGATGCCACAGTCATAGTGGTTAGACATCCATCTCTCACGTTAAGGGGTGCTTGCCAGTCAGCTGTGACTGTGTCTCAGGTAACTGGGGAGCACAGTTGCTGTGTACTTCACAGTTATTAGGCCCTTTAAAGTACAAAGCCTCTAGGAAACATGGTCCTGAGCCTATATTATTCTCTCTGTGTATGTGTGTGTGTGTGTGTGTGTGTGTGGGTGTGGGTGTGGGTGTACACAAGGACATGTATATTTATGACTATATGGAGGAGGGAGAACCATGAAGGGAAGGCAATTCAGAAGAAGCATAGGGTCATATTCATGAAGCTGTTAAGGAACAATACAGAATTAGGGCTTAAGTACCAAAATTTATAGTCTTATGAAGAAATATTCTGGCCACAAGTAGAGGAAGGATGGAGTAGTCTGACTGAGATAGGGGGTGTATTAGTCCATTCTTGCATTGGTATAAAGAACTACCTGAGACTGGGTAATTTACAAAGAAAAGAGGTTTAATTGGCTCACGGTTCTGCAGGCTGTACAGGAAGCATAGTGGCTTCTGGGGAGGCCTCAGAAAACTTACAGTCATTGTGGAAGGTGAAGAGGAAGCAGGCATGTCATACGTGGCTGGAGCAGGAGGAAGAGAGAGAGGAAGGAAGTGCTACCCATTTTTAAACCAGATCTTGTGAGAACTCCCTCATTATACAGTACCAAGAGGGATGGTGGTAAATCACTCATGAGAACTCCACCCTTATGATCCAGTCATCTCCCACCAGGCCCCACCTTCAACATTGTGGATTACAATTGAATGTGAGATTTGGGTGGGGACACAGATCCAAACCATATCCAAAAGCATTTGTTTCTGGGAGTCAAAGCTATAAGCCAAGAAAAAGACTATATAAGAGAAAGCTGTGTTCCAAGCACCAAGGCAGAGGGAGTGAAGAGCACATATAATCACTAAGTTTGAAGGGGCCAGAGCTGGGATTTGAGACCAAGAATAGAAAGCCAAGGATTCAAGGCCAAGAGGAAATGAAAAGAGACAGAAAGCTGATCAAGAACAAGTTGGAGTTAGAAGCAAGATGCTAACCAGTGTCCTCAAATCACTCAAGAGTTCTTTGTGACTTTGAATTTTGTTTTAGCAAATTAGTGGTGCAGGGGGCAGTGGGACTAGGTTAAAAGGTCTAAATGGGGTGAGCAGGGGGTGCTAAAGTGGAGCCTCGAAGATGGGTCTAGGTGTTTAGCAGGGAGTATTTGGAAGGGAATACAAATAAAAGAAGGGGATTTTCATGTATATGGGGCAACATCTCTGCAGCCAGACTGGTAAAGGGACACATGTGGGATAGCCTCTGACCTTCAGTCAGAATGTATTGCCCACTGTTTTTTGCAGGGCCCTTAGTTAAAGTGTCATAATTTTTCCTTGAGGTAGTAGTAAGTCAAGAGACCTATTATCTGGTGGAGAAAATAAAACTTGACTCCAGAGTTTGGAGCCTGATAACTGCCTAAATCATGGCGTCATTAAGGGGAATAGAGGAAACAAGTTGACATTTGAAGGGGATCTGTAGGAGAATAATGTTGGGTCAGAAGGCAGATTGTATAATCAAACTATTTGGGTTTAAAATCTGCTACGTACTGTATGCCTGAATTTGGGCAGGTTTCTTACCTCCCTTCTTCAATTTCTTCATCTGTAAATGGGTATAATAATACTAGCCACCTCTTGGCATCATCATGATAATTAATTGCAGTATACACATAAAGTGCTTAGAATAGTGTCTAATATGTGGGGCACTGAAAAAAGGTAGCAGTGATAATGAATGAGGAGGGGAAGGGTTCAGTTTGACGCCTGATGGTTTGGATAATAGAAATGTATCCAGGTAGAGAAGTACATCAGCCAAGAGCAACTGTGAGACTGATTTCCTGTAGAGAAAATCTAGGCATAGGAGCCATCCTTATGGAGGTAGTAGTTGAATTTCCAAAGATGGAATGAAATTGTTAAGGCAGAGTGTAGAGTAGTGCTTCTCTCAGTGGAAAGTGATTTTGCCCCCAGAGGGCGGTGTTTAAAGACTAAGGGGTGTCAATATGCTGAATGCTACAGAGAGGTCAGTAGTGAAATTAAATAGAGTTGGTGACTAGTAGATGCCTTTGTGGTGGGGGAAAAAAGGGTAGCAAGTGTTTGTATGTTACTTTTTTTTTAAAGTCTGGTGTCAAAGGTAGAAGTCAGCTCCCTGTGATTTCATCTCCAACCTGACCAATCAGGACTCCTGACTCCCTGGTCCCCTGTCTGCCAAATTATCCTTAAAAAACCCCAGTCCTCAAATTTTCAAGGAGACTGATTTGAGTAATAATAAAACTCTGGTGTCCTGTTCAGCCAGCTCTGCGTGCATTAAACTCTTTCTCTATTGTAATTCCCCTTTCTTGATAAATTGGTTCTATCTGGGCAGTAGGCAAAGTGAACCCACTGGGCGGTTACAAAACTGTGCCTCTGAGAACCAGGATTAGACCACTGGTAAGCAATTCAGAACAGAGGAAAGCACCAAGATAGAAGCAGAGGCCCCAAATGTCAGTCAGTCATACCAACCAGCTGTGTGATCTTGGGCAAGTAGCTGAATTTCTCAGAGCCTCATTTTTTTTTTTTATTATAAAAAATGAAAAGCCAAACTCAGTTTCCTTTTATCTCTAACATAATATAACTGCATAGATTTTAGACTCTTGAAGGAGTAATTCACTAATCCAGATTTGTCTCTAATCACATCTGTTGCCAAAACAAGAGTGGAGATTCAGGGCACCAGGAATCTAACTCAGTAGTTGTTAGGATGAGATAGCCAAAATAAGAAGTGAAGAAGATAATAGAATAATCTTGTCTTTTGACAATGCTCCTTAGCTGTTTTGGATGTCATTATTTTCATGGGCTTAAATCGAAATGGGCTTTTAAAAACTTTGATTATTCTAGAAAGGGGGAGTCATATTGGGAAGGAAGGGTCTTAAAGGTATTAAATGGGAAGGCAGAGAATGAAAATGTTGACAAATCTGGGTATAAGGTTTAAGCAGAATTATCTTTCCTGGTCCATTTGATGGTCACCCCACCCCCAGATCTTCTCTAGGCTTCTCAGTGGCTATTTAGTTTTCTGTTTTAATTGTATTAGGTTGGTGTAAAAGTAATTGCAGTTTTTGCCAGTGAAATGGCACCAACATAATATTAACATTTTAAAAATAGATATTTTTTAGCATGGTTTTAGGTTAACAGAAAAATTGAATGGAAAATATAGAGAGTTTCCATATACTCCTTCCCCACATGCGTAGCCTCCCCAACTATTATCATCCTGTACTAGAATAGTACATTTGTTTTCATTGGTGAAGCTCTACTGACATATCATTATCACCCAAAGTTTATAGTTTGCATTAGGATTCACTGTTGGTGTTGTATATTGTATGGGTTTTGATAAATGTATATACCATTAAAATATCATACAGAGTAGTTTCACTGCCCTAAAAATCCTCTGTGCTCTGCCTTTTTATTTTCCCTTCCTCCAAACCTCTGGCAACTGATCTTTTTACTGTCTCCATAGTTTTGCCTTTCCTATAATGACATGTAGTTGATTCCAAGCCTTTTAGATTGGCTTCTTTCACATAGTAATATACACTTAAGATTCTCTCATGTATGTTCATGACCTGATAGCTTTTTTTTTTTCTTGTTTTTCTTCTTTTTTTGGTGGGGCGGGGGGGTTGATTAATATTCTGTTGTCTGGATGTACCACAGTTGATTTATTGTTTTACCTACCAAAGAACATCTTGGCTGCTTCCAAGTTTCTGCAGTTATGAATAAAAGTTGCTATAAACATCTGTCTGCAGGTTTTTATGTGGATGTAAGTTTTCAACTCATTTGGGCAAATACCAAGGAGCATGATTGCTAGGTTCTATGGTAAGAGTATATTTAGTTTTGTAAGAACTGCCAAACTGTCTTCCAAGTGGCCTTACCATTTTGCATTCCCACCGCAATGAATGAGATTTTCTGTTCTTCCACATCTTTGCCAGCATTTGATCTTGTTAATGTTTTGACTTGAACCATTCTAATAGGTGTGTATGGAATCTCACTGTTGTTTTAATTTGTAATTTCCTAATGATATATGATGTTGAGCATCTTTTCATGTGCTTATTTGCCATCTGCATATCTTCTTAGTGAGGTGTCTGTTTTTTAATCAGGTTGTTCATTTTCTTATTTTTGAGTGTTTATGGTTCTTAGTATATTTTAGATAACAGTCCATTATTAGATATGTCTTTTATTAGTATTTTTCCCAGTCTGTGGTTTCTCTTCTCTTTCACAGAGCAGAGGTTTTTCATTTTAATGAAGTCCAGCTTATCAATTGTTTTGTTCATGGGTACTAACATTGATGTTACATCTAAAAAGTTATCACTATACCCAAGGTCATCTAGCTTTTTTAAAATGTTATCTTCTAAGAGTTTTATAGTTTTGCATTTTACATTGAGGTCCATAATCCATCTTGAATAAATTTTGGTGAAAATTGGTAAGGTCTGTGTCTAGATTATTATTATTTTTTCATGTGGATGTCTAGTTGTTCCAGCACCATTTGTTCACAACTATCTTTTCTCTATTGTATTACCTTTGCTCCTTTGTCAAAGATCAGTTGACATATGTACCTGGGTCATTTCTAGGCTCTTCATCATGTTTCACTGATCTGTCTACTCTTTTGCTAGTATCACACTGTCTTGATTATTACAGCTTTATAGTAAGACTTGAATTGAGTAGTGGCAGTTCTTCGGCTTTGTTCTTCTTCAATATTGGGTTGACTGTTCTAGGTCTTTTGCCACTCCAAATAAACTTTAGAATCAGTTTGTTGATATCCACAAAATAACTTGCTAGGATTTTGATTGGGATTTTGTTAATCTGTAGATCAACTTTGGAAGACCTGACATCTTGACAATATTGAGCCTTTTTCTCAACATGGAATGTCTATTTATTTCTTCTTTGAATTCTTATATTAGAGTTTTATAGTTTTCCTCTTATAGATCTTGTACGTATTTTGTTAGAATTATACCTAAGTATTTCATTTTTGGAGGTGCTAATGTAAATGGTATTATCTTTTTAACTTAAAATCGCGCTTGTTCACTGCTGGTATATAGGAAGGTGATTGACTTCTGTATATCAGTCTTCTATCCTATAGTCTTGCTGTTGGTTCCAGGAGGTTTTTTTCTTTTTTTTTTTTCCTTTTTTTTTGGTGAATTCTTTCAGATTTTCTACATAGACAATCTTATCATCTGCAAAGACAGTTTTATTTCTTCTTTCCCAATCTGTATACCTTTTATTTCCTTTTCTTGACTTGCTGCGTAAGCTAGGATTTTCAGTACAGTGTTGAAAAGAAAAGGTGAGAGGGGACATCCTTGCCTTGTTCCTCATCTTAGCGGGAAAGCCTTGAGTTTCTGACCATTAAGTGTGTTGTTGGCTGTAGGTAATTGTAGATGTTCTTTATTAAGTGGAGGAAGCTCCCCCCCACCCCATTCCTAGTGTACTGAGAGTTTTTATAATAAATGAGTGTTGAGTTTTGTCAGGTGATTTTTCTGTATCTATTGTGATTTTTCCTCTTTAGCCTGTTGATGTAGATAAATTATATTAGCTGATTTTTCAAATGTTGAACCAGTCTTGCATACTTGGTATATATCCCTCATTTATGTCATGGTATATAATTCTTTTTTTTTTTTTTTTAACAGTCTTGCTCTGTCACCTAGGCTGGAGTGCAGTGGCACCATCTCCCCTCACTGCAACCTCCGCCTCCCAGGTTCAAGCGATTCTCGTGCCTCAGCCTCCTGAGTAGCTGGGATTATAGGTGTGCACCAACACACCCAGCTAAATTTTGTATTTTTAGTAGAAGTGGGTTTTCACCATGTTGGCCGGGCTGGTCTCAAACTCCTGACCTCAGGTGATCCACCCACGTCAACCTCCCAAAGTGCCGGTATTACAGGCATGAGCCACCACACCTGGCCTATAATTCTTTTTATATATGGATTAATTTGACTTGCTAGTATTTTGTTGAGATTTTCTTTAAGCCACATTTCTTTTAAAAAATAGTTTTTAAAAAGTGTTACATGTTATTTTAGAAAATTTGGACTGAGAAGTGAAAAAGAGAAAAGTACTTGTAATTCCACCATTCACAGATAACCACTCTCCAACATTTTGGTATTTATTTTGGTCTTTTATAATGAAAATAATAACAGTAACAACAGCAATAGTAAATACCATTATATTATTTCATTGAGTGGATACCTGAAGTAACTAAGCGGTTAACTGAGATAGAGTTCCAGTGGTAGTACCTTATTAACAAAGTGGAGGTGATGAAAGAAGTAAAGATACAAATGACTGCTTTTGCCTGGAGGCTTCTGAAGAAGATGAGAAAGATAGCTTAATGAAGAGTTTAAATGTTCACTTCAGTAAACTTTTGTCCTTTCATTCTCAATACCCCATTGTAAAACCTGCTCATTTCAGGCTTCTAACTAGGTCGCTGAGGATGACATCACTGAGAATGTTGGTAGTGGAATGCTGTTCAGAGTTTATGTCTACCGTGTTTCTAGGCTGCTGAATAATTTTCTAAGCCTGGTGGGTGGGCAGTTGTTTTATTCACAAATAGTGGCTATTCCACTGATACACAAAAGACACAAGAAATAGGAGATCTTGCCATCCATTGAAAAAGCCTTGACCTCCTTGTTGATGAAGTTTTTCCCTTGCCTGCCCTCACTGGAGTCTGGCCTAAGTTTGGAAGGAGCTGTCTTGGAGTACAATGTAGGAATAAATGCTGAAGGCTAAACAGATGCCTTAACTTTGAACTTCCCAACTTGAAGTTTCCATAGACACTGGCAAGTGGGGAGGACACTGTGCTGTGGGAGTGTGGACAGCTTGTAGCATCTGAAAAAGTTCCATTTCCTGCTTTTTTGTTTTTCTGTTTTAGAACAATGGCCTTTCAAATGAGGAAGAGGGAAGTGAAAATGGACTTTTTGGGGAGATATTTAGAGTCTTCAAACTCTATTTCATGCAGTCTACAATTTTTAAAGTTATTTTTGGAGTAGTCTCCTTAACACCTTGCAGGAAATTTGGCTTGTAGGACTGTTACCAAATAGGGGTCCTGACCCAGACCCCAGAGAGGGTTCTTGGATCTTGCTCACGAAAGAATTCAGGGCGAGTCCATATAGTGAAATGAAAGCAAGTTTATTAAGAAAGTAGAGGAATGAAAAAATGGCTACTCCATAGGCAGAGCAGCCCCAAGGGCTGCTGGTTGCCTATTTTTATGGTTATCTCTTGATCATATGCTAAGCAAGGGGTGGATTATTCATGCCTCCCCTTTTTAGACCATATAGAGTAACTTCCTGGCATTCCCATGGTATTTGTAAACTGTCATGGTGCTGGTGGGACTGTAATGGTGAGGACCACCAGAGGTCATTCTCATCGCCATCCTATTTTAGTGGGATTTGGCCAGCTTCTTTACTGCAAACGTGCTTTATCAGCAAGGTCTTTATGACCTGTATCTTGTGCCGACCTCTTATCTCATCCTAAGAATGCCTAACCTTCTGGGAAGGCAGCCCAGTAGGTCTCAGTCTTATTTTACCCAGCCTGTATTCAAAATGGAGTGGCTTTGGTTCAGACGCCTGTGACAAAACAAATGTTTCTGAAATATTCAGTGTAGATTTGGATGCTTCT
This sequence comes from Homo sapiens, assembly GCF_000001405.40. Lineage (NCBI taxonomy): Eukaryota > Metazoa > Chordata > Mammalia > Primates > Hominidae > Homo > Homo sapiens. The sequence continues at coordinate 35,722,909 of NC_000011.10, forward strand.
CTTTTGAGTAGCTTCCTGCTCCTAACCCTGACCATTATTCTCAGTTCATCTCAGCAATACTTTTCTGAAACAAATTGTTTTTCAATCTCTCTCTCTTTCTCTCTCTACCTCCCTCCTTCTGTCTCTCTCTACCTCCCTCCCTCCCTCTCCCCCTTCCAACTCTCTCCCTCCCTCGTCTCTCTCTCTCTTTCTCTATCTCTCCTTCTCTTTCTTTTTCTTGTTTCGACAGATTCTCATTTATAACTCTTTTGAAATGATGAGTTGTAAAAGTACATTAGACTGGACCAGAGGAAAGTTTCTAAACCTAACTTTATTATCGTACTTCTCTGTGACTTTTTTTCCCCTTCACCTATAAAATTAGAAGGTTAGATTCAGATGTTCAATAGGTAGTTCTGACCATACAGTGGTCAAAATTTTCAAATTGCAGTGCTATGTTATAATTTCAATACAATGCTATGTTTAATCATATTCCACTTCACCCTAATGCAACTATAACAAAGATATATCAGCTTGATTGTAACTAACATGCCAAAGGTTTTGATGTCTTAGGTTGGAAAATGCTTATTTGTTAATTAGAGAATGAGAGTGGGAAAAAGGCATAAAGGTTTTGTAAAGCGGATTATTTTTTCCTTCAGTTTTCATTTGTGACCTGATCTGTATAAAATACAGTGTCATGCTGAAAACCCTATGTAATTAAAGCCATGGGAAATAGAGAATTTTAAAATCCATGACTCATTCACCTGCTGCAGTCTGGCCCACACCTTTACTAAGTGAGATGTCAGCTTCCTAACTGAACCACATGTGTATGTGAAGTCTAGTAAAATAGGTTGTGAGTCAGTTTTTATTATGATATCCATTTTTAGTTACTGGTAGCCATTAAGAGAGTTTCTCAGGCATTCAGAAAAGTCCATCCCTTAGTGAAAAGGTTTGGTCTCTGAGAGAAGGACCTAGTCATTTGAGACTCAATTTATTTCAGGAGTAGAGATCCATTGATCAATGATCACTGTAAAGCATAATAGCCCTAAAATACATACACTAAAAATAAAAAGGAATTATATAAACACAAATCACAGTTCTCAATCTGATACAGAATTTACAGGGACATTAATAACATTTAATACACTTTCCCATTTTCTCCAGCACCAAGGAGAGCACCTGCAGAGAGTATATGAGGGCTTATGACACTTAGTCACTTGATGTGTGAGCAGATACATGTCATACAGGCCTTATTTTGCACTGATGTCCTTAGTAGTGTTACAAAAGCTGCGTAAGGTATCAAGCTTCTTTCGGTTTCTAAGGGGCTAATTAAAAATTAATCTGCTACCCCCTCCTGTAGGCTTTGTCTTTCACAGTTTCCTTTCTTAGGTTTTCCCAGTTTGACTTCCCTTCTGGCAGACTTTTATAGTGAACAGAGCACCAGACTGAGAACAAGAAGATTGGAGTCTTTCCCTCTTCTACAGGTTTGCAACCGTGTCCATTTCCTTATCTGTAAAAGGAAGGGGTTCATTTAGATGACAACTGTTTTCTCTTCCAGTTCTAAAATCCTCCATTGGCTTTTCTTCTGCCTTTCTCCTTTTGTCTACGGTTTACTTCTTCCCTGCTCCCTATCTCAGCTACACTCATAATATGCATAGTTGTTTTAAAATAATCATAAAATAAACATGGTTGTGAGGAAACATCAATAAATACAGTTGCTGGTAAAATTTGGAGTTTAGAAGTTCTCATTTTGATAATTTCTCACTTTGTTAGCCTTTCTTATGCCCTAAGCATAAATATAGCTAGCAGTTGTATTTTCTTTGGTTTGCAGTTGTTATAAAATAAAACAATAATATATTTGCACCCATGATAGTAAAAGTTTAAAAGCTTGATATAATCCAGTATTGGCAAGGGTGTAGGAAAATGCTTACTTTCATATGTTGTTGTAGGAATGTAATCAATACATCTTTCTCAGAAGGCACCTTGGCAGTATGAACCAATATTTTTAGAGTATATGCCAATTTACTAAGTGGCTCTAAACATCTTTAAAAAACTCATATGCGTATATTAAGAGATATAGCCAAGGATGTTTATTGCTGTGTTGTTTATAAAAGCAAAAATTTGGAAATATCCTGTACTTCCATTAAGAGAGGAATGGTTAACTAGGAGACATGCACACACTCACACACACACACACACACACACACACACACACACACACCCTCCATCTCCATATCATACAGATAGTAAAAATAGTAGAATGAAGTTGATCTGTATGCACAAATATATCTTAAGTAGAAAAGTAAGACAACCATATTTTCCCTATGATTCATTTATATAAAAACTACTTAATTATCTATATACATATATGTACATAACTATATAGAAAAATGGCTGGGAGGATACATACCAAACTATTAACAGTAATTGGGGCGGAGAGGAAGAATTTCGTTTTTTGTTTTGTTTTGAGATGGAGACTTGCTCTGTTGCCCAGGGTGGAGTGCAGTGGTGCGATCTGGGCTCACTGCAACCTCCACCTTCTTGGTTCAAGCAATTCTCCTGCCTCAGCCTCCCAAGTAGCTGGGATTACAGGCACCCACCACCATGCCCAGCAAGTTTTTTTGTATTTTTAGTAGAGACAGGGTTTCCTCATGTTGGCCAGGCTGGTTTCGAACTCCTGACCTCAAGTGATCCAGCCGCCTTGGCCTCCCAAAGTGCTAGGATTACATTCATGAGCCACCACGCCCGGCCTCATTTTTTACTGTATATATTCATCGTATATATTACTGGTATAAAAATGAACAAAACCGAAAGGAAAAAAGGATAAGAAATTACTCCCTGAAGAATGAAAAAGGCAAAAAGATTAGCAGGAAATTCATCAATGATATTAGGGGAACATTGTTTTTAGGATATTCCCAAAACTTTAGGATTGGATAGGATCCATGGTGTGTATTTTGGCCAGGGCTGTATAGTAATAACTCTGCCCTTTTGTTTCTTTGTATGTTCAACTTATTCTTCTTATTTGTCTCTGTTCTAAAGGTAACTCGGGACCAAATGAAGATGTTTATACAGCAGGAATTTAAGAAAGTTCAGAAAGTGATTGCTGATGAGGAGCAGAAGGCCCTTCATCTAGTGGACATCCAAGAGGCAATGGCCACAGCTCATGTGACTGAGATACTGGCAGACATCCAATCCCACATGGATAGGTTGATGACTCAGATGGCCCAAGCCAAGGAACAACTTGATACCTCTAATGAATCAGCTGAGCCAAAGGCAGAGGTAAAGGAAAAGCCCATAATTATTAGTAGCAAGAGAAATAGGAGGAAACTGATGCCATATTTGTTAGACCCCATGTGGTCCCTGAACGTGAATGAATTGAAGTCTAGGTAGAGTATAAGTGTTTCACATGGTGTATAAACCAGTATGGAAGTATTGGCCACTAGTTTACTCAGTGGCTGGGCCTACCAAATTATTTATCCATCATTACTTTAAGGAGTATAGTCAGTGGGGGCAGATACTAATCACAATTAAGAAAGGAAGCCAAAAATTACAGCCAGAGAAGAGGGCAAGCGACAGACCCCAAGTTGTGAAATGAGCCTTTAAAGTCATCATAGACCTGGGCTGAATGAGAACAAATCATGAAGTAGAGCATAAAGCAGGCCAGAATGAAAGATTTTGGACTTACTTTGTACATAGTGAAAAGGTGTCTCAAGCTGGTTGTTATATGGAGCCAGCTGCATAAATTGGAGGCATAACTGCTGGATTAAGAATGGCATGTGCACTAGGGCATTGTAAGATTAAAAAAAAAAAAAAACTATGAATGAAAGACACAAGGTAAATGTTGAATCACTATACAAATGTTAGTTGTCATATTCATTGTTATTTTTAACGGGAATAAAAGGGTCTTAGGCATTTTACCAAACAACATATTTAGGCATTTTGAATCTACTTTGAAAAAATTATTTAAGGTAGCCATTAAAAAAAAAAAGTACAAGCTGGGCTCAGTGGCTCACGCCTGTAATCCCAGCACTTTGGGAGGCTAGGGTGGAAGGATTGCTTGAGTCCAGGAGTTTGAGACCAGCCTGGGCAACATAGTGAGACCCTGTGTCTACAAAAAAAAAATAAAAAAGTAGCAGACATGGTCTCACCTGCCTGTAGTCCCAGCTATTCAGGAGAGGTAGGAAGATTACTTGAGCCCCGGAGGTTGAGGCTGCAGTGAGCTGTGATTGTGCCATTGCACTCCACCCTGTGTGACAGAGTGAGATCCTGTCTCAAAAAAAAAAAAAAACCAAAAAACTTATATTTCAGCCACTAGAGAGAGGCTACTATTAATCAGATTTCATAATTTGACAATTCTAGTGAAGGTAATGCCAGATAGGTTTAGGGTAGGTCCTTCTAGAAAAAAAACATAGGAGAGTCCTGTGGACTTTCTAGGACTGTTGCTGACTCAGCAAGTCCATCCTTAACTGGACGTCCTGCCTTGGCTTGAGAGAGCCTGGCCACAGAATAAACTGGCCAGTAGAAGAGCCAAAGTAATCCAGGAGGCAGGTATTTCCAAGCTATCCTGACAGGAAATGTAAGAAACCATTGAAAGGTATCTGCTATACCCATCCAGGGCTTTTGATTAATTTTCATCAATGTGTGAAAAGAATAACTCTTCTTCTTTTCATTTTATTCTCCCCATAATTGAGAAATTATGTGCCTACATAAGTTTCTAGATAGGCAAGAGAGCACTTTATATTCATCATTTCATTTAATCCTTACGTCAGCATTAACTCCATTTTACAAATGGGATATTTGAGATACAGAGAACTGCAGAGATACTGACCCAATATCATTTAGTCAGTAGAAAATAGAGCCAGGGTTTAGATTTAAGTCTGTGCTATTTCAGTGCCTGTGCTTTCCCCCTACTATAAGACATATGCTAAGCATCCCATCTGTATCTGTGGGAAAATGAGAAGAATCCATGTTCTAGACAGCTTTGCATACCTTTACAATGTCAAGATGGTCAGTTTGTGTCTTAATAAACAAAAGGTTCAACCAGAGTTAATTCAAGGGATCGACAGCATAATTCTGTCCACAGTTCCTATCAAGTTCGACCCCTTCATTTATTCCCTATGTTGATTAGGTTGTTCTTTGAAAAATAAAAATTTAATTTTGGCTAGGCGTGGTGGCTCACGCCTGTAATCCCAGCACTTTGGCAGGCCGAGGTGGGAGGATCACCTGAGGTCAGGAGTTTAAGCCTGCCCTGGCCAACATGGCAAAACCCTGTCTGTACTAAAAATAGAAAAATTAGCTGGGTATGGTGGCGAGCACCTGCAGTCCCAGCTACTTGGGAGGCTGAGGCAGAAGAATCGCTTGAACCCAGGAGGTGGAGGTTGCAGTGAGCCAAGATTGCAGCCACTGCACCCCAGCCTGGGAGACAGAGTGAAACTCCATCTCAAAAAAAAAAGTTTAATTTTGGGGTTTATTCTTCTCTTTTATTTTAATCTATGAATTTAGTCCTTCTCTGACATTAGCTGTCCTTTAAGCACCTCAGCTGTACTATGCTTGTTAACTCTGATGGAATTACTCTTAAAGGGATGCAAGAGCTGACAAGGCTTAAGGACCAGGCTACAGACAAAATGAGCTATTAAAAACAGAGATAGCGTTCAGCCACTAGAGTGTTTACAAAGAGCTGTTATTATTTAATAGCCTCTTGTTCCAGTTAATCTGGTAACTTATTGGTGAGAGCAAATATCTAGTACCTGTCTTTCAGTCATCAGAGGAATTATGTTCTTTTTGTGGTATAGAATTTATCAAAAATCACCTGCATTTTGAATTCAGCCATAAGACCTTCCCTCCAACATTTTATTATAAAATTTTTTAAACATACACCACAGTTGAAAGGATTTTACAGATTATGCCTATGTACCTACCACCTAGATTCTCCTATTAACATTTTGCCGTACTTGCTTCATTACATATCTAGCCATCTTTTCAACCTTCCACTCACTGATCTATTTTATTTTTGGCATATTTAAAGCAAATTGCAGCTTCTGGTTCTGAGCAAGATGGAGTAAACACATTCTATTTTACTCCTTTCACTTATTACAGTAGAAATCTCTGGGCAAAAATGCTGAAATCATCTACCAAAAGACTCTTGCAGGTGGAAAAAAGATGGCATACTGATCAGGGACCTTGGGATTTGAGAGGATACAAGGCAGTGAATTCCCTGGGGTTTTCTTTACTTCCTATGTATGCTAGCCTGGGTGTTCTACAAACTGGAAACACTAATACACACAGACAAAAAAAAAATACCCAAGAAAAGCCTGCTTCTGGAAGCAAACATCATGAAAAAAGTGGCACTGCTCCTCAACCCCAATTGGCACGCAGCAGTGGAGCCAGTGAGTGAAACTCACTCATTTTATATATGCCCTATGTTAATGAGGTATCTTTCTCTATGGAGCCTGTGGGTGAAACTCTTACTTCTACCTTTGGCCCTGCTCCTCCCAGTAATGAGTGGAACCCATCTCCTATGCATCCGTAGGTGGAACTCTGACTTCTGCCGTACCCTGCAGTAATAGTACGGAGGAAGTAGTACCTCTTCGTTTTGGAGACTGTAGATAGAGCTCTAACTCCTCCCTCTCACCCCTGCATTAACTAGGCTATGCACTTCCCCAGCTGAGTCAGTTATTGGAATTTTATCATTCACTCCTGCCCTGTAGTAATGATTTGGTTTCCCTCCTCCTCCCCAACTAGCTCTGTGGAGAATGTAGAATGGAGTCCTGTCATTTGAGTGGGGCAGACAAGAATAGCACTGTAGAGGCTTTATAAACTTAAGGTGACATATGAACCATAGTTCACAAAAAGGATCCAGGACATGCATTCTGAATCTAAACAGGTTGACTGCTAAAATAGAAGATTTAAATAGGAACTAGGTTTTTATAATATAACTCATCATGTCCAGGATACAGACCAAAGAACCAATAAAAATCTCAATTCTGTAAGCCCGAGGCAAGAGGATCGTTTGAACCCAGGAGGTTGAGGCTGCAGTGATCTGTGTTCACAGCACTATACCCCAGTATGGGTGACAGTGCAAGACCCTGTCTCAAAAATAAAATGAAATGAAAATCTCAATTCTAAGGAGAAAAGAGAATTGATATATGCTAACTCTAAGATGGCATAGATGTAGGAATTAAAAGACAAAGATTTTAACCTGCTGTTATAAGAATGTTTCAGTGAGCAATTACAAGCACTCTGGAAATAAATGAAAACCTCAATAAAGAAATAAAGATATTAAAAAGTACCAAATGAAAATTTTAGAACTGAAAAATACAGTAACTGACACCAAAAATTCACTGGATGGGCTTAATGGCAAACCGAAAGAAAGATTTGGTGAATTTGAAGATAGATTGATACTGATCCAATCTAAACAGCAGCAAAAAAACATGGAAAAATAATTGAACTGAGCTTCAGGGACTTATAGGACAATAATGAAAGATACATGTCACCAGTGTCAAGAGGGGAAAAAGGAAAGTAGAGCTGAAAAAATAGTTTGAAGTAATAGTGTCTTAAAATATCTAAAATTTGGCTGAAAGACATAAACCTACAGATTTAAGAAGCAGAGTGAACCTAAGCAAGATAAACTAAGAAATCCATAGCCAGACACATCAGAGTCAAACTTCTGAAAACTAATGACAAAGAAAAAAAATCTTGAAAGCAGAGTAGCTAAAGAGAAATGACACATTAGCTCTGCAGAACAGCAGTATGAATGAACATATGTCTCCATTTATAAGTCTGTTTTTACATGCTCTCAGAAATGGTTCATGGTTTTCATTTAAAGGTATTAATGGCTTTTATTAAATTTATTCCTAGTTATTTAATATTTTCAGTACTATTGAAAATAGAATTGTTTTTAAATTTCATTTTTCAGCTTATGTTAGTATATAAAAATATAATTGGTTTTTATATATTAGCCTTATATCTTTTTTTTTTTTTTTTTTGAGACGGAGGTTTGCTGTCGCCCAGGCTGGAGTGCAGTGGCGTGATCTCGGCTCACTGCAGATATTAGCCTTATATCTTGTAACCTTGTCACATTCACCTATTAGTTATAATAGTGGCTTTATAGATTCTTTAGGATTTTCTATATCAGCAATTATGCCATCTACAAATAGAGACAGTTTTACTTTCTTTGTTTCTAATCTTTATGCTTTTTATTTCTTTGTCTTGTCTTACTGCAGTGGCTACAACCTCCAGTGCAATGTCTAACATAAATGGTAAAAGTGGACATCCTTGCCTTGTTCATAATCTTAGAAGGAAGGGATTCAGTATATTACTATTAAGTATGATGTTTTTTGTAGATGCCTTTTATCAGATTCAGGAAGTGCCTTTCTATTCCTAATGTGCTGAGGGCTTTTATACAAACTGATGTTGACTTTTGTGAGATATATCTTCTGTATCTCTTGAAATGATCATACGCATTTTTTTCATTATTCTGTTGTAATGGTTAATCATGTTGGTTAATTTTACAATATTAAACTAACCTTGCATTTCTGAGATAAAGTCCCATTTGGCCATGATGTATAATCTGGGTTCAGTTTGCTTATATTTTGTTCAGGAGTTTTGTGTCTTTGTTCATAAGGCATATTGGTTTATATATTTTTATAATGCCATTGTCAGGTTTGGGTATTAGGATTATGTTGGCTTCATAAAACAAACTGAAAAGTATTCCCTTCTCCTTTATTTTTTTTTCTCACTGTTTTTTGCAGAATTTACTTACATCATTTTATAAAACTCTTTATAAAGCTAAGTATTAAAAATTGGTGTGTCTTTATTTATATGTCATGAGCATTTTTGTCTTTTGTCCAGTTTGGTAAGGAGAATACTGAGTTGCAATGAGCTAATATTGGAAAAAGTATGTTCAGATGGGTAAACCATTAAAAATGATACATGCATATGATAACCATTTATTTTAAACTTGAAACATATTTGTACTTTTTTTTTTATTCTGAGGCAAGGACTTTGAAAATATGGGTTTGCTAATTAGAGTTAAATGTCATGTTTCTGGCTAAACCATACCCATTTTGCGCCATTTATAAGGTCCAATTTCAGACTGTCTATAGTGAGGGTGATACCATTCAAAGCAAGCTGAATGCAGAATCTTAGTTCTTATAACTTACTGTTTCTAGTATTTTGCTTGTGTTTCACCTACACCAAAATTGACAACAATTTTTAAGTAATTCATCTTTATTAAATTCTGTGGATGCATTCAACTTAGTTCTTATGTGAGCAAGTTATCTCTCTTGCATTCACTTTTTGTTATTTAATTAAATGTGTCATCATTACAAGTTCATATAAACAGCCTTGTTTGATTCTTGGTGAACAACATTTCCACTGGTGGAGGTAGAAATGGGAGGTTGCACAAGAGTGCAGTCTGCCATCAGATATCACAAAGAGCATTTGTGATAATTAGGGATTTGGGAGCAGTGCTTAATCTAACAAGTCATTTAAATGGAAGTTGGTATTTAATAGACTCTCACTTCTGATATTCTCTGAAACCAGAATTTGCTTATAATAGGAGTAGAAATTAATCTTAAAGCTTACCTATATCTTGAATAATTATTTACTATGAGCCTTGTGCTGTGTTAGGTGCGGTGAATACAGAAATGAGCAAAACACAAGTTCTATTCTCAAGGAGTTGAAATCCAAAGAGGGAGGCACTGTTTGATGTTGTCATTGTCAGTTTTCTTCTCTAAGTACTAGTGTAGAGTGGCAAACCCTACAAATGTGGGAGAAAGGAGGAGGATTAACTTATTCAAGATGTTAGTGAAGAAGTTTCGAGTAAGGCTTGATCTTAAAGGATAGATAGGAATTAGCTAGGTTTTTAGAATAGGGATGTGCATTTCAGGTAGCAGGAACATCACATGCATATCTTTTACTAGCAAGGTTAGCAATCCTCTCCGTGCCAACCTATTCAAAACGGCTTTATAATTCATATGTGTGTGTATATTCTTGCTTTGTAACAGTGACCATTGTTTCTGAAAAGAAGCATACATCTATAAGCAGTAGAATTGGATGAACATATAGCAAAACTTTGTGTCCCATCTTTTCTGTCCTTCCCCGCTCTCCCCTAGAAATGTTATTAATTAACAATTCAAGGAAAGTAAAATAATGGCTACTATTTGTTGAACGATTACAAGGTACTAGACACTTGCTTAGTGTTTTACACAGATTTTCTCATTTATTTTAATCCATATGGTGACCCTTTGAGGTAAGAACTAGGATCTTTATGTGCAGATGGAGAAACTGAACCTTGGAGAAGAAAATTGCCAAAAGCTTCACTTTTGGGATTAATGAACCAGAATTTGAGACCATGTTTTTATATTATAACTGAGAAACCCTGTCTCTTAATCATTACACCAAGGTATGTGATTTTGAGGAGGACTTGCTCTAAATTATGGGAGAAAGTTTAGATATTTTTTCCATAAAGTTATCTTAGACAATTAGGCTTAAACATCCAAAAATAATTGAAAAATTTGTGTTGAGATATAATTATGTCATTCATAGTTATGTAACTCATGTTAAATTTAAATTATATAACTTTTTATTGGTATATTATAGATCCCATGAGACATATCAGATGATAAAAATGCGAAGAAATTTTCCACCATCCCTATACCCTCCCTCTACCACTCGCCCTACTTCCCTCTAGTTGGAGTGTGGATGATTAACGCCCTTCCCACTATTGCAGATCTTTAACAGTCTGCCAAAAATGCCCTTCTTATTCGACCTCAAATGGCTAGTTTGATTTAAATCACCTTTCTGGCTGCAGCTGTACTTTACAGGCTTGCACCCTGGCAGTCTCCCTTTACCTCAGTCACGCTCAACCCCACATTGCCCTCAGTTCCAACCTTATACCACCCCCAGCGCCCTGCCCAAAACACACATGTGCACATCCCCATTCTGTAGTTTCACAGAACTCAAGGTCCCTTGAACAACACATTTTTAGAAATTTGCCTTTGCTCTTGCTAGTTCAGTGTTCTTCCCACTTTTCTCTGTTGTCAGCCTGGGAAAATACTATTTATCCCTCAAAGTGGCAATATCAATGTTACCTTCTGTGTGTGAAGCTTTTCCCACCTTCTCCAGGAGAGGCAGTGTTCATAACTTCCCTGTTGATTCTCATATTATTCTGTTTATGTCTTTGATATTGATCATAACACATTTAGTAATAGTTCATTTTCTTTCTGCCTGTTTCTCATGCTCCTGATTCGAAAATCCTAGAAGGTTAGATCATTATGAGTGATTGTTTTTCCTTAGTTAGCATATATATATATAGTAGCTTCTTAATGAATCCTACTGAATTGTTACTGATACTGATATATAGCCTTTATTAAATACATCCTGTGTCACAGGCACTGTGTTTGATGATTATAAGCATTATTTCATTTAATCCTCATACTCATCCTATGATACAGAGACAATTATTACCCCATTTTACAAATTAGGAAATTGAAGTTAAGAAAGGCAAAATAACATGAGTAAGCTATTAGAGCAGTAGAGTGATAGGGTTAAGACTTGAACCCAGAACATCGGACTTGAGAGCTCATTCTGCCTTATACCAGTAGGAACCATTCATTCATTCATTCATTCTCCGAGGAGTACAACCAGAATGTACATTCTCTATTGAGACTACCCTTCAATGGCTAAAAAGAAGGATATAAAAGATACGCTGACACCAAAAGGATGAATGAGGTCCCTTGGGAAAGGCTTGAGAGTTATTTGAAAAATCTAATTTGATCACAGAAGGAAGCTCAAAGGAATCTGCTGTGATCACTTCTGATAAAGTTAGGTTGAGAGAATGCCATACCTGGAAAAATAATGTTAACACATTGTTTTTGAAAAGTGGGCAAGAAAAAGAGAAGAGCCATTGTTTGATGGAAGAATGATGTGGATCATCAAATGCCAGAACTAACCACTTACGGAGGAGAAGACCAAAGTCCAGATTAATTAATGTTTGCCCAAGGACACATAACTAATAAGTAACAGAGCTTGGACTAGAATCCCAATTTCTTGAGTCCCAGTTCAGTGCCCTTTATACCACAGTGTTCTTTATATTAGAATTGCAGTGTTCATGTTTGATGAAAAATGCTAGAACAAGGCAGAAATGAGTCTTTGAAGGAAACAGTTTGATGTTTTTGGAACTGGCTAGCTTTTGTCTAAGACGTGCCTCTATTTTGGGTTTCTCACTTTGCTAAGAACTAAATACTGCCAGCCATACAAATAAAAAGGCAAGGCAATTATTTAGGCCTCCTAGGTCTGTGCATTCACTTCTCTGCTCTGCTTGTCAGGGCAAATTATCAGGTCATCTCCACTGGGCAGTTTGAACATAGGATTATATTAGCTCTTGTCTTAGCCTTTAGATGTCTGTTGGTTTGTCTCTGTTACAATAAATGTATAGTCCATGCATTCAGGTTGGGAGAGGGGAGGGAAAAGAAAGAAATCTGACTCTGTCTGTACCAACAGTGATTTCTAATACTGTTTCTTTCTGTTTGTCTTTCAGGGCGATGAGGAAGGACCCAGGTAAGATCACATTGTTGCTTGTCTTTTCTCATAATTGAAGTAGAGTGACATTTGTGGCCTTTTAGTGCTCCATGAAATATAGACAGCCAAGGAACAGCACAGAAAAGGGATCTCTATCTTAAGCCTGGGATTTGAAGATCTTATTTTGTAAGACTCCCGTCTCCCTCTCATCTATGTCATTTCCTGCCTGTAACCTTCAGATAAGTAACTTTGTTGTATTCTTTTGTACATTCAGAATACCTTGTTAAGAAGAATAGGCACTACATTTAAATGGTAATGTAGTATCATTATGGTAATGGTAATGGTATCAGGTGGACTGACTAGATAAATTTTTGTAGTCTTTCTTGATTGGAATTAGATTGATTTTTTTAATGGGCTCTAGATCTAGTATTCTTTATTTTTGACCTATAATATCTTTGTGTCAGACACAAGACACCTATATGATGAATCCTAGGGTACAGGTATACAAAACTTTGTTTAGGAAAAAAAAAATGTTCTTTGTGCTTCTGTATTGCCACAGTTGAATGCAGTTTAGAAGTGCATTTTATTATTGTCTGAGCCTTGCAGTGAACCTGGACTGTGGTTTACTTACCCTTCCTGTCATTCTTCTCAAGCAGTGAAAACAGACTCTGGGAAAAGCTACAGCTGTGTCATCAACACAATTGAGGAATATTTGTACAAAGTAAAAGGCAATGTCCAGATGGGTCCCATCTGTCACATAGAATCAAGGGTTGTTAAGGCTGGGAAGTATCAGAATGGTCATCCAGGCCACTGCTATTCAAACTTTATTTTTAGCAGAAGCACCCTTTTTTGAAATGGACTTTAAGCAGAACCTCAATGTGTAAAAAACAATTTTTCTCTGGTCAAAGTTGGGGCAGCATTCATTGAACTTTCTCTATTCTTCAAAATAAACCCTGAGGAGCTTCTGCAGTGACCTAGGGTTCCTCAGAACTCAGTTTGAAAATCACTATCAAGTCGCTTATTAAAAGAAGCTAAATGAATTGTCAAAGGTTACCTTACTGGAATCAGGATTTGACCCTTCTTTGTTATTTTGTTTGTTTGTGTGTTTGCTTTTTACAAACTAGCAAAAACAGTTTCCTCTCTTTTTTCATTTTCCCTCCCCATATCCTGAGCCTCTTTCTTAGCGCCAAATGTTGTCCCACATCTGCATCTCTTGGTGTGTTCTTCCCTTGGAAACTATAGTTTTTAACATCTGCTCTGGAACAACAAGATCTTGTCTAGCTCCTTGTCTACTATGGCTAAAGCCACAGGCACCCAACTTTAAAAGGCATAGGCATCTTGCTTTAAACCTACAGGGTTTCAGGGAACCACTTCAGACTCCATCTTTCAACCATTCTCAGGAACAGGCTCCTTCTTTGTTGTGGTTCTTTTCCTTCCTTCCTCACTCTTCACTCCCTTCCTTTTGTTCATTTAACATATATTCGTGACCTACTGTGTGTCTGGCACTGTGCTACATCCTGGGTATATCATGGTGACTAAAGCAGGCATAGTTCCTACTCTTGTAGATCCTAAGTGTAGTGGGAGAGGCGAACATGTAACTGGGCAATTACATGGTAGGGAATGTGTTCTGATAAGTTTAGGCTACTTTAGGAAGGGCTCCTAAGTTAGTCTTGGAGGATAAGGGGAGGCTTACCAGAAAAGGTTATATATAAACAGAGATCTGAAAGGTTGGAGCAGGGGTTGGTTGTTCTAGGTAGAGTAAACAAATTGTGTGCCAGTTCCAGACAAGAGAGGAATGGAAAAAAGACAGCAGAGCCCAGATCATTTAGGGCCTTATAGACCTTCTTAAGGCATTTAAGCGCTATACTGAAGGCAATGGGAAGCTATTAAAGATTTTTAAACAGGAATTAACCTGAACAGATTTGCATTTTAGAAGTGTCTCCTACCTATGGAATGGAAAATGAATTGGAGGTGGATCGAGAGCCTGGGAGACTTCCAGGCACAGTGATGCGCACCTATAATTCCAGCTACTCAGAAGGCTGAGGTGGGAAGATTGCTTGAACCCAGGAGTTCAAGAGCAGCCTGGGCAACATTATAAGACTCTGTCTCTAAAAATAAGTAAATAAAAAATAAATTTTAAAAATTGAGGTCGGGCACAGTGGCTCACGCCTGTAATCCCAGGACTTTGGGAGGCCGAGGCAGGTGGATCACCTGAGGTCAGGAATTGGAGACCAGCCTGACCAACATGGTGAAACCCTCTCTCTACCAAAAATACAAAAATTAGCCAAGGGTGGTGGCGCACACCTGTAATCCCAGCTACTCGGGAGGCTAAGGCAGGAGAATTGCCTGAACCTGGGAGGCAGAGGTTGCAGTGAGCCGAGATTGTGCCATTGCATTCCAGCCTGGGCAACAAGAGCAAGACTCCATCTCATAAAAACAAAAAATTGAAAAATAAGAAAAGAGCCTGGGAGACTAGTTAGACTAGGTTATCGATGATGGGAGCCTAAATCAATATCTTCTAGTTACTGGTTCGGTTTTTATCATTTTCCACAGACCTTTGGTTTAGATGCACTTTAAACTATCTCCTTGGCCCTCCTCCGCCTTTTCTCTCAGGATTAGCTCTAGCTCCTTAAAATCCAGTCCAGTCAGAGCCCTAGACTTACTTTCCCAGAAAAAGAGTTCAAACAAGACCATGATAAAGAAAATACCTTGGCAGAGGTAGTGTGCAGACTCCACAGGATAGCAGTGGCATTTCTGTCTTAGGAGAGCCGAATTAGGGTGAACACACTCATCTTTATAGCCACATGCCAGAGTCACATTGATTAGAAGAATACAAGGACTGTATGAAGAGATTAACTCCCTTTAAAGATACTGTTCAGTGTGAGATTCTGGCTTTAGAGTTTAATTGCAGATACCTTTGTATCATTTTGACAAGATAATGGAAAGGCATAGAGTTTCTTGTAACCAAGATGTCAGGCCATCTCCCTTGAGCCAGGCTGCTATGGAGGTCAGTAAGGAGTCCATTGGACTAGGAGTTGACGGATCCCTTTTTGGTACAATAAGTACCAAAAATAAGTGCATGTTCTGATTTGTCAGAAAGGAGGAGGAGGAGTCAGATTTTCTTTTTTAACCTTTAAATTCCTACTTGTTGGTTCAATTCACTTTATTTGTATTAAACTACCATTTGGCTCAATTTATTCTGATTAACCCTTCAAGGCAAATTGCCTTTGATCTGAAATTTTTCTCATTTATGATACATACTTTACCCTTTCAACAAGCCAAATAGAGTTTTGTTCCAAGGGCTTCTGTATTGCTGACAGTACTAAATTAGAGTTTGATGTATAAGGAACGCAGAAAGGAAGTGTGGGAGTCCCTACACAAGGGATGGATGAGAAATGAAGCCGGAGACACTGAGTTCCAGTTCTGCTTGGATCATTATGCCTGTGTCTCCTTTGCTAGCATTCTTTTCACACAGCCACTTCTCTACTGCCTACATAGAAGTTCAAAGAGAATTAGATTCCAACCAGTCTCCATGGTGGAAGGAAAAAAGAAAAACTCCTGTCCTATGGAAACATATTTGTCTATAATGGATCTTCCTCCCTCTCTACTAGCTGGAGTGTCTTGCCTTTTTTCCTCTTTTCTGTTTTGATTTCCCAGTTGTTTGATATTAGGGGACCAAATGTTGTGCTTTTAGTCATGTCTGTTCCTTGCCCTAAATTTCATTGTGCAGTTATTCTGCTAATTTACCACAATCATAATCATAGCTACCATTTATTGACAGTTCATTATGTCCAAAGTGCTTTATATATATTCTAATTTAATCTACATGCAAACCTCATGATATAGTTATTAGCCCACTTGTCAAATGAAGAAATTAATGCCTTGAGAGATTAATTTGCCTTAGATCACATGGCTAGTAAGTGGCAGAGCTATGACTTGAATCTAGTCTGGCTTCAGAGTTTAACCACCAAGTGCTCTCAGCCACCATGTGGACTATCTTCAAAATGGCAGCATGCTTCTCTCTGTGACCCTATACAAAAGCCAAGAGGATTCACACACAGTCCTCAGAATATGACTGGTCTTGTTCCTCTAACCTGGGAGTTCTTCAATTGCTTTGACATTGAATTGCTGTGGCCCCTGTTTTCTGCAGGTTGCTTCCGCTCTCAGCCTCTGTCATTATAAAGGGAATGTCTTTGTCTCATTCTCACACAGTATCCTCTGAGGGTTAGCAGAAAAAGGGGTGCTCCCTGGGGAGCAGCCAACTAAGCCTGCCTTTGACTCCACAGAATAGCTGTCTGATGCCTCTCAAACTGGTATCTTACTCCTCAGATCCATGATACACAGTCATATAGCTGGCAAGAATTCTTGGAGGGCATGGAGAAACAAAAGTCCTAATATGTAAAACATGTGTATTAACTGCTGTGGAGTCATCATTTAAGAGAGTGTCTTTGACTTTGGGAGACTGACCCTGATCACGAGGTCAGGAGATCGAGACCATCCTGGCCAACATGGTGAAACCCCGTCTCTATGAAAAATACAAAAATTAGCTGGGCATGGTGGCGTGTGCCTATAATCCCAGCTACTTGGGAGGCTGAGGCAGGAGACTCACTTGAGCCAGGGAGTCAGAGGTTGCAGTGAGCCGAGATCGTGCCACTGCAGTCCAGCCTGGTGACAGAGCAAGACTCTGTCTAAAAAAAAAAAAAAAAAAAAAAAGGTACCTTTGAAGCCCAGAGTGATTTTTTTTTTTTTTCCTAAGCAGAAAAGCAATTTACACTTTTGGCATCAATTTTCTGCCTTCTCTGTGCTATTATGAGAGATCTTGTGTTCACTCCCTCACAGGTTGGCTCCTTCTCTACTCCTGCTGGAGCCTGCTGAGAAGTAATATATATCCTAGGAGAGGGGGTGGCAATAGGATCTGTTGGCGTAAAAGCTGTTGTGTAGTGGTAGGAAGTCAGAGAGGGAAAAGACCCTTAAACTCTTGTGCTTAGAGGAGAAGGAGGAAGATCAGGATTAGATTTTGATTTGCTATTGAGGTTTTCTGTAATTTTTTTTAACCTAAGAGGAAAATGGCTTTTTAATAGTAACACCACACTTGGAACTTCTGTAGAATTTTTCATCTTCAAAGCTGGCTGTTATTCAGGCAAAAAGCTCCTGCTGAGATCACTGTGAATCTGACCCATACCGATTCTGCGATCAAACAGGAAGCGTGTTCTGAAGGAGTAGGAGCTGAAGGAGAGTCAGCAGACCTAGCTTCTATTTTTGATTCTGTCTGTGACTGACTGTGTGACCTTGGGCAAGTCATTTAACATCCTTGTACTCTTATTTTTAGTTCCCTGTAAATATTATCCTCACCCCTCTTCACTCTTTCCTCCACCTAGTTTTGGGGATATCCTTGTGAGAAGGAATACAAGTCTTTTATCACATATGGAGTGGGAACAACCTGCTTACAGATTCTATAATTTGGTGGGTTTTTTTTCCTCAATTTTGTTTCTTTAAAAATTATCTTGGGTCTGTATTCTAGGTACTTTTTTTCCCCCTCTAAATGAATAACCATATGTTCTTAGATATGGCATTTCTCTTTCTATTTAGGTTGTAGAGATGAAAGAGGACTAAGTTAGTGATACGCTTAGGTTTCTTTTGTCTTCTGATTGCAAATTTGTGGTTTGGTTGTTGCGTTGTCTTCATTGCAGGAAGTCTATCTGGAAGCTGAAGAAAATGGCTGTGATACTTGTGATATGGAATGGAACTATCAGGACTGCTTATTATGCAAAGTGGGGTGCCAACATCTAAGTTGGCCTTCAGCATACAGAGTCTCTTAATTGTCACATTTCCCTGTTATGGAACCTGAGTTGACCTTATTTTTCCATGCTAAGGATTGTTTATCCCTCACTTAAGTCAGATGAAAGTTGAAGCCACACTATGCATTGTGCTGCCTGTCTATACCCAAAGCATACCTCCTTGCTAAAATAATTGATTCAGAAATTTGCCCGTAAGAGTCACAACTTTATTTTGTGCATGTTAGTATATTAACCAGAGATTCCATTCACAGCTGGAAAATTCAGCTGAAGTGCCTCTAGCTTATTGCATCTGCCTCCACCTGGAAATGTTGACTAGAAGCAGCCTATATTTTTAACATACATCTACCTACTTTATAATGCTAAGAAAAAAGGGCCCAAGAGGAAGGGGCATGGATGCCACTTTGCATGCTATGGTTTAACTCTAATCAATTTGTTTGCCATCCGGTACAGTAGTTACGATGCTTGGCAGGCTAACCTTGTTTATATATTTGGCCTCGGAACTTATCAGGATAACATTTCCCACTAGGAGCTCTATTCCCTAACCTCTCAGACAACAAAGATTGCAGAGGAATTCTTTCTTTCAACAAACATCTTAGAGCGCCTAATGCCAGGCCCTCTGCTAGGCCTTAGGGATATGGATATAACTAAGACTTTGTTCCTGCATTTAAAGATCTCAAAATCTAGTTTGAAAGAGAGCTAAATAAACCATTTTAATTTTATCTATCTATCTATTTATTTATTTATGAGACAGGGACTTGCTTTGTCACCTAGGCTAGAGTGTAATAGTACAATCACAGCTCACCGCAGCCTCAACCTCCCTGGCTTAAGTGATCCTCCCAACTCAGCCTCCCACCCCCATCAGCGAGTAGCTGGGACAATAGGTTCATGCCACCATGCCTGGCTAATTTTTTTATTTTTTGTAGAGATGAAGTCTCACTTTGTTCCCCAAGCTGGTTTTGAACTACTGGGGTCAAGTGATCCTCCTGCTTCGGCCTCCCAAAGTGCTGAGAATACAGGCATGAGCCACCACATCTAGCCAGCAATTTAAATTTTATATTTAAGTGCAGTGTAATAATTATTATGATAAATTATAAAGAAGCATTGAGTGCCAACTATATGTGAGGAAGTATTTTAAACATTTACATATATTATCTATATATATGGATATATATATATATGGTCTATATATATAGGACAACAGTCCTAATAATTAATGTTAATATATTAATATTATATTAAATATAATTATATTAATTACAATTAATATAATTATATTAATTGTATTATATATAATTATATTAAATATAATTATATTAATTGTATTATATATAATTATATTAATTATATTAATTGTATTATATATAATTATATTAATTATATTAATTGTATTATATATAATTATATTAATTATATTAATTGTATTTTATATATAATTATATTAATTGTATTATATATAATTATATTAATTGTATTATATATAATTATATTAAATATAATTATATTAACTATATTAAATATAATTATATTAAATATAATTATATTAATGTTATATGTTATGTATTATATATTACATATAAATATACAATTATATTAATATATTAAATATAATTATAATATTAATTATACATTAATATCATTAATATATTATTTTTATTTCTAATTTGAATGAAAAAACTGAGTCGCAGAGAGGTTATACACTCATGAGGTCACACAGCTAAAAAGTGGTAGAGCCAGCATTCAAACTCAAGTAGTCTGACTCCAGACTGCAAGCTCTTAACTATTGCAGTATAATGATTCTCTGAAAAAAATGTTGGATGTAGAGTAGGTTCCAACTAACTCAGGATAAAGAATCAGAAAATATAGCGTTTCTTCTGGACCTTGACAAATGGATAGGTCTAGGCTTCTTCAGATTGGAAAAACAGGAAAGCTGTCTAAGCAAAGAGGTAAGTAGGAAGGCTCAAGGAGTGAAAACACATGTGCTGTGCGGGGAATGGTGAATAACTGCATGACTGGCCTGGGGTAGGAGACTAGACTAGAAGGTGGGTTGAGTCCAGCTTGTAAAGGGTGAAGTGTACCATGTTGAGGCACCAGAAGTTGTTACTGTTTTCTGTTACGCTTTACCTCTTGACTACAGCATTGCCCCCTTATAGAAGAAATGGACAGACTTCTGAATCTTACAGGTTTCTTCCTCCAGTCACATCTCATGATTTGTTATGGGTAAATTGCTTTCTTTACATTTTTGTTTCCCCATCAAAATCTCACATCTTACTATACTTAAAGGACAAATATGTTTTGAAGCATTTAAAGTATTCCCCTTTTGGGGGTTGCTCTTTTAGTTGGAAAACTAAGCAACTGAGGTAAAGTAGTTGTAGAAGGGAATTGTCTATTTGATTTGTGTCTGTTTTGATAGCTTCTGCCTTCCTCTAATTTATTCTTTCTTTTCTTTTTTTCCACCACGTTTATTACATAAAAGACACTGATATTCTATTCCATCATTATCATCACTAATGTTTGTGACCCACTAAAATGATTTCCCAGCTCATCAGTGGGTTACAATCCATGGTTTGAAAAACACTGCAGCAAATTTTATGCTAATCTGCCATGGATACAGGGTTACCATGTCCATGATACCTTGGCGTGAACTAGAAAAAGGTGCCCTTTCCTCAAGATGCCTAATTCCATCTGCCAAAAAATTGTCGTAATGTGCTGACTTTGTTAGAGTAGGATACTATCATATGCCAGAGAATAGTTAAAAATAAGTAAAACTTGATGTCAACATTATGAATGGTGTGCCCAGTAAATAATTATGTTGTAAGCACCCTGTGCACAACTGTACATATTTGCCCTAGTGTACACTAAACCACATGACAAAATAGGTTGGAGGTGTTTGTTCAATGGATAAATTATCTCAGAGTACCTGTATACCAGGGATTTGTGACAGCTGTTTTGCCTTCTTAGGGCTTTTCTGCTCATTTCCCTATTAGAGTAGCCAGATAAAATACAGAACACCCTTTTTAACTGGAATTTATATAAACAACAAAAAAAATTAGTATGAGTATGTGCTACACAATATTTGGAAGATACTCATGCTAAAAAATTCATTATGTATTTCAGAATTGCTAAAAGATTATATCTTAAATGTTCTTAACACAAAAAATAAGTATGTGAAGTCATGGATATATTAACTAGCTTTACGTAATTGTTCCACAATATTTACACATATCAAACATCACATTGTATCCTATAAATATACACAATTCTTATTTGTCAATAACATTTAAAAATTAAGAAATATTTAAAAACATTCACTGTTATCTGAAATTTAAATTTAACTGGGCACCCTGTTTTTTTTTTTATTTCTTCTTCAGTGTTTAAGTTCAGGGGTACATGTGCAGGACGTGCAGGTTTGTTACATAGGTAAACGTGTGCCATGCTGGTTTGCTGCACAGATCGTCCCATCGCTTAGGTATTAAGCCCAGCATCCATTAGCTATTCTTCCTGATGCTCTTCTTCCTCCCACACCCAACCCTCTGACAGGCCCCAATTTGTGGTGTTCCCCCCATGAGTCCATGTGTTCTCATCATTCAGCTCCCACTTAAAGTGAGAATGTGCAGTGCTTGGTTTTCTGTTCCTATGTTAGTTTCCTGAGGATAATGGCTTCCAACTCCATCCATGCCCCTGAAAAGGACATGATCTCATTCCTTTCTGTGGCTGCATAGTATTCCATGGTGTATATGTATCACATTTTCTTTATCCAGTCTATCAGTGATGGACATTTGGGTTGATTCCATGTCTTTGCTATTGTGAATATTGCTGCAATGAATATATGCATGCATGTATCTTTATAATAGAATGATTTATATTCCTTTGGGTATATGCTAAATAATGGGATTGCTGGGTCAAATGGTATTTCTGGTTCTAGGTCTTTGAGGAATCACCACACACTCTTCCACAATGGTTGAAGTAATTTACACTCCCACCAACAGGTTTTTCTCTGCACCTTGCCAGAATCTGTTATTCTGACTGGTGTGAGATGGTATCTCATTGTAATTTTGATTTGCATTTCTCTAATGATCAGTGATATTGAGCTTTTTTGTTTGTTGGCTACTTGTATGTCTTCTTTGGAGAAGGGCGTATTCATGCCCACTTTTTAATGGGGTTGTTTTTTTCTTGTAAATTTGTTTAAGTTCCATGTAGACTCTAGATATTAGGCCTTTGTCAGATGGATAGATTGGAAAAATTTTCTCCTGTCTTCCTCTAATTTAAAGTCAAGTTTGGAAAGCACAGTAAGTCCTCACTTAACATCATTCATAGGTTCTTGGAAACAGCAGCTTTAAGTGAAATGATGTATAACGAAACCAATTTTACCATAGACCAGTTGATATAAACAAGAGTTAAGAAAGATTTAAGAACGATTAATAAAACAAGCAAGATAATTATTTACCCCATTATTCCAGTTCACAGTCATGAGTGGCTGGAGCAGCTCAGGGCACAAAGTGGGAACCTGCCCTGGCCAGGATGCCATTTCATTGCAGGCTGCACTCACACCCACACTCACTCAGACTATGACAATTTAGACACACCAGTTCACCTAAGGTGCACATCTTTGAGATGTGGGAGGAAACCAGAGTACCTGGAGAAAACCCATGCAGACATGGGGAGAAAGTACAAACTCCACACACAGTGGCCCGGACTGGGAATCCCCCCGCCTTTATTTTTCCTCATCAACATTATAAAAAAAAAAGTTGAATGAAAAGACTCTATTCAAGGACCTGCTGTAGTTTAGTTCCTTCTAAATTAATGGAGAAAAGCAACATTGAAGCACCATCTTCCAAATAGATTTAAGGATTTAGAGGTTTTCCTTAAAAGGTAATCAAACAATTAAGTTGATGTGAAGGAATGCCACATTGGTCCCTGAGTTAGATCCAATGCTGAGGAGTCTAGCTGCAGCCTAATTCTCTTCTTCCTTATTTGTCTTCATAGCTATTTTGGATTAGCACTAAGCAGAGTGGATTTTAGGAAGTCACACAACTTCAGTCTATGTTTTAAGAATAACTAAATTTGATGTCCTTGGTTATGCCTCCCTCACCTGTGGACAGCCACAGCAAAATTGGTGGTGATGGTGTCTTTTTCATTTTAGGAGAAACCTGCTGGTCTTAAGCATCTTGTCACATTTTTTCCCAGTGAGAGGCAGGCAAGAGGTCAGTAATTCTATTTTCCCAGCAGCTTCCGGGGGTCCTTCTTTTTTTTTTTTTTTTTTTTTTGTAGCTCTATGTCACTGAACTGCAGTTACCTCTTTATCCAGAAGCTGAAACAGCAGGCATCTGTAACTCATGCTGGCAGCATATGCTGGTGGAGTTTTTTGTTTGTTTGTTTTCTTTCCTAGATGATGTGAAGTTCAGAGTCGATGAGTGCAGATTTTCTTAAAATTAGAACTGTAGGGAGGTGGCTTCAGAACTTTAAGAAATGTAGCCAAAGGCTGAGTTACAACTGGAGTACCCTAAATGGTGAGGTTTTACAAACCATGAGGCAAATTCATGTGCCTATACTTGTTTGGACCCAGGACCTAAACATGAATGGTTGCAGGTTCATAAAATAAATGCTTTCTTGTCTATAAGCAGGGAGTTCAGCGAAGAAAAACATTTTCTTATATAAATGCCTCATTCCTTCTTAGCACCACTACCAGTTGTTCCCTGTAGGTTCGCAATGTGGTTATAAAATGGAAAGGCATTTTGTTTTCTTGGTGAGTACATGTCTTACCCTCTGGTTTCATCATTTCTATTTAGAGGGAAGTGAGATTGAGCATGAGAAAAACAGTGCAAAGAGGGAGAACCTGACAGAGTTGCAGCAAAAGCAGGGAGAGAGGCATTTCTCAGCTGCTAGATGCATCTTGGTCTAGATACTTTGGGACAGCTGCCATTTTCTCCCACCTGTACAGGTATTATTGTCTCTCATACAAAGACTAGTTAAAACTCACTAAGCTGCCAACTTCTCGCTACCTTTCAGGATTGTCCAGGGTTAATAGTTATCCAGCAGTAATACCTGCCTGTGTATTGAACATTAACTAGGAGCTAGATCTACATATATAATTTCAAAGTTTTAAAACAACTCTGTGAGGACAGTTATTCTAATCCCATTTTTGTTTGTGTATATGAAGATAGTGATGTTATAAGAAATTAAGTGACTAAGCCGTGATCACACAGTTAGAAAGTGACTCAACCTGGATTAGAACCCAGATCTATCAGGGTTAAAATTCTATGCTTCCAACTATTATACTGTACTGCCTTTGTCAGAAGATGGAAGATTCATATCTTCCAACCTCATGGCCAGGAAAAAGTAAAGCTGATGGATGGAATTATGACAAGCCAACAGGGATTTGGTACTTTTATGAGAAAATTTTTTCATTTTCTTTGTTGAATGTCAACAAGCAGTTTGTCTGAGAAGAAAGTTGAGGTGGGGCTTGCCAGGAAAGTGCCTAAGGTGGAATGAACAGGAACTTCTCTCCCCAGACAGGTAAACATTAGTTTACTCACTGGCTGTGGAGCCATCAGCTGCCATTGCCTCTTCTGAAAGAGCCACTGTTCACCAAGTGGCAGGTGCAGGCCAACTGTTACCATGGCAACAGCAGGAGAGGCAAGCAGTTTAATTCCAGAACTGATAATTAACTGGGGGGTACGGTGCGGGGCAGGGAGAAAAATGGGGGGATAATTGTTGCAGGAGGGAAAACTTAGCAATTACCGGCAAGTTGCATAGATGAAAAGGCCAGGCACAGATGCTCCAGCCCAGCATGCTACTAGCTTTTGGCACTCGTTCCCTCAGGTTAGGAATTTTTGATACACTAAAGTGAAGGGTTGAATCCCTAGCCAACCAAGTCTTTTTAAGGAATCGCCTGAGGAAAGAAGATTGTCACGTAGGCTGTGAAAAGAAATACAGGGGGCCACATGAATGACTACCTGAAATTATACCACTCACCCAGAAGTGACCCAGAAATCCTATCTAAACTCTGCAGGAGGGATTCATACTTGGTAATAAAATAGGACCCATAAAGCATACTTGTTGTGGGTGTCTACTTCTTTGGGTCGAATAGGGGAAAGTGGCTTGTTAGAAAATAAAAGGAGGACTCGAGGAAGTGATGAACTTGTTTAGGTACTTAATCATCATAGCTATTAGTCCATCAACCCTTCAGAGACTGTGTTAATGAAAGTAGCCAGCACTCACATGGATGATTATCTATCTCATTTAATCCTCAAAACAATTTAGGAAAAACATGCTATTAATATTCTCATAACAGACTCAGAGATGTTCAGTACCTTGACCAAGGTCATAGAGCTAGTAAGTTAATGTACTGAATCTTATCCTATTGGGTTGTATTTTTAAAATAGAACCTATACTATTCTATAGAGAAATCGTGGTCCCAATCTACAACAAAATCAGACTTAAGCAGATATAAACAATTTATAATAAAAAGGAAAATATTTTTTCTAGTAAAACAAGGTTAGCTGCAAAATAAAATATCCCGAATGAACAATGTTGGAGAATATCCTTTTCTTTTGAGATCTATCAGGCTCATAGCTCAAGATTAGCCCTATGTCCCAAGCCCTGATCAGGTGAATAATGTGAGTCATGATTCTTTCCTAACTTGGTTCTATGGCTCAGGTGGGGTAAAGCTCAGAAGAAGAGGAGGTTTGTTGACATTAAGCAATGCAGAGGCTGTCCAAAACTCATCTAAATGATCTGTTAGAACCAAACTTCCATGATGTATGTATTTTTCATGGGAAAAAATGCCATAATATACAGCAAGACTTCCCTGTATTCCTTGGTGTGTGTATGTGTATGTTAGAGAGAGAGAGAGAGACAGAAACAGATATTTTACTTTGAAACAGTGAGTCTCAGTTGGAGGAGAAACATGGCATTCATTCAGCAGAGTTTTTAGAGCACCTGCTTCATTCTAGCATTGTCTTTGGTGCTAGGGATATAACTGTAGAGAAAACATTCAAAGTCCCAGCCTTCAAAGAACTTATGCTATAGAATCTTAAGAAAAGGTAAAGGAAGGTAAGTGATGTGTAATTTAAAAGCACATTTTAAGGAGACTCATTAATCCTTCTTTCAAAATCTGTTATAGAAAATAAAACTTACCCAGTCCTTCTGGCTGGTAGGAAGATATACAAAAGATAGAATAAGAATAAGAGAGCAGTAGAGGCCGGGTGCTACAGCTCACTCCTGTAATCCCAGCACTTTGAGAGGCCTAGGCAGGTGAATTGATTGAGGCCAGGAGTTCCAGACCAGCCTGGCCAACATGGCAAAACCCCGTCTCTACTAAAAATACAAAAATTAGCCAGGCATGGTTGCACACACCTGTAATCCCACCTACTCAGGAGGCTGAGGCACCATAATTGCTTGAACCGCGAGGCGGGATTGCAGTGAGCCGAGATCGTGCCACTGCACTCCAGCCTGGCCAGTGAAGCAAGACTCCATCCTAAAACAAACAAACAGAGCAGTAGAGGTTGATAATCACTATTTAAAACTATGAGGTTACCCTTGATTTTCCAGAGGTTTGACAAACTAATAAGTTAATATTGCCTTTGCAAGGGAAAAAATTAATATCAAAATTTGGGAGCTTGACTGACACAGTAATTATGCTGGAAAATGTAATTTTGCCTCCATAATAGAGATGGGATTATTTCAAGAAGATCTCATTAATGTGCTGTTCATCAACAAATAGGAGTGTAACCTTTCTTTTATTAGATTAATACAGGGTCGTGATGCAAAAGGCTGTTGGAATAATTCTTACTCCTTTGTTCTAAGAAAATAAATTAAGTACCGTCTTAAAGTCTAGATATGGAAATTAAAATCATTAAAGACAGAAAAACAGTGTGGCCACTCATTCCAAAATCTCCATGAGCCTTCTGTCATTTCTATAAAATTCATTCCTTTGTACATTTATGAAACAAATTTGATCAAGTGTCTACTATGTGCTAGGTAGTGCTAGATGTTGGAGCTATAGTAGAAACCAGAACCAAATGCAGTCCTTGTTTTCATGGCGCTTACCACATTGTGAATGGTCTCTCCTCCACATTTGAGGGGCATATATTTATTCTGTGTCTGCTCAACTCACATTAAAGGATCGGCAGCCTACTAAAACATTCATGTCACTTGTAGCTGTAAATGGAAATCTCCCAATGCAGAGCTTTCTAGATATATTAGACTAAACACTATTTTAGCTCTCAGTTTGCTCTTCTAAACTAGGGTTCCATGGTCCAGTAAGTTTCCAAAGGCCACCTTCTTGGAGCTCCACAAGTTTCATGATGCAATAAAGACTTTGAGCAGCCTTGTGATAATGAAATATGTTTAGTTTGTTTAACCTGACATTCCCACACTTATTGACCGTAAGACTCTTAACCCCATCACATAAATGTAAGTCTTTAGAAGTGGTGTTCCTCAAGATATACTATGATGCATGCTGCTTTTTCTCCACTAGATGTTGGGACTTGTTGCTAATGACTGACATGCAGAAAGAGGGTATAAAGAAAATGTAGAGTCATTATCTTAGTTGAAATCATCTCTTCACCATACTTTGGGACTTCTAGGACATTTCTCTGCTATTATTCATGTAATTTATTTGTACCGCAATTAAAAGTGTAGCTATCAGGGGTATAGAAAATGAAGGTAATACATATTCCTGGGAAAAGGAGGCCCAGAGAGGGCTGCTCAGATATTTTTAAAAATTGCCATTAAAAAAAAAAACTTGGATGTACATAATTCCATTTAAAAAATATCACCATAAATAAGTTTTATGTTCTTTTTGTCTTAATAATGTGATTTTTTTCCTATTTTTAGTAATAACAACGCAGTGGTACCACTGTAAAACAAGCAACCCAGCACATTGCCTAGCACAGAGTAGACACTCAAATCTTGGTTAAATGAATGAATGAATCAGGCAGTGACAAGGAATATTACTAAATATAAAGCAATGCAGAACAATTACATTTTTCCAGTTTTAAGTCATTGCATAAAGTGGGCCAATCCTTCTATGTCTTGATAGTGCCTCTTACATCTAAAAGCTAATACATGTTTATCATATGTTGGGAAGAACCAAGAAAACATTTTACAAACCCTTAAGTACTGCATCTAACGAATAGTAATTTTTTTTCACCAATGATCATGGAATTGCTTTAACTTTCAATGTGTGAGAAATTTCTCTAATATGGCCAGGCCTTGATGCCAGATGGATTATACACTAGGATCACAGTATTCTGACTAAAGGCCAAGAGAGAAGGGCAGTGAGACCAGGATATCAGGCTTTCATTAGAACCTGGCTGTCTCAATTTTCTCATCAGTCATATAGGAGCAGTAGTACCTACTATGTATTAAGAATCAAGTAATGATAGTACGTAAGAAATACAAGTAAGAAGAGTAAATTTTGTCTTATACCCTTTAAAAGCGTAAAGTGCTAAACAAGTGAAATAAGAGTGAATGAAATAAAGGTAAGTCTTTTATAATGGTATCTGTTAAGACATAATTGTATTTACAACCTGAGGCTTAAATGAGTCATGAGTCATTTAAACATTTACCAGAAATAACAAAGGAAACAAGAAAATTGACCTTGATTCAGCACC
Source organism: Homo sapiens (assembly GCF_000001405.40). Classification (NCBI taxonomy): domain Eukaryota; kingdom Metazoa; phylum Chordata; class Mammalia; order Primates; family Hominidae; genus Homo; species Homo sapiens. The sequence continues at coordinate 35,751,821 of NC_000011.10, forward strand.
TTTACAATTTACAGGATGTGCACGGACATCTCATTTCCATGTTCTGTCAATCCTGAGAGGTGGTTTTGCTATTTCCATATTACATAGATGAGGAAATTGAATGAGTATAAGTGACTTGTCCAAGTTTGCCCAGCTAAAATTAGAAGTGGCAAGAGTTAGAGTAAGACCTTCCTGTCCTACATCCCATGGCTTTGCTGTCCTAGCTACTTTTGTTCAAAACATAACTCTTGTTTTCTCCTCTGTCCTCCAAATTCTTCTACCCTTTGCCTTCTTAGTAAGTGGCATTATTCTGTCTCAGGCCAGTAGCCGAGGAATTATTCCCAATATCTTTCTTTTTTTTTTTGCATTCCACATCCAGTTAATCAGCAAATCCTGTCAGATTTGTCCTAAGTATATATCAAATATAGAGGCTTCACACCACCTCTACCTCACCGTCCTGGTGTATGCCACATACTTCCCTTTAAGAATCCTACTGCCTTCTTCCTGTTGGCCACTCTTACTCATTCTTCCTCCTGCCAGACCTCCCCCGACCCCCACTGCCATTCCATTCTTCACATAGAAGCTAGCATGAACTTCTAGGATACAAAGAAGATCATGTAATTCTCCCAGTCAGAACACTGCACTATGAATTACATTGTGTCTGGAATTTGTGTCAGAATAACCTGTGGTTCTCCCCCTCCCTCACCCCTCCACAGAGTAAGTCCGCAAGTCCCCTTGATGCTAAACCCCAAATATCTCTCGAGTCAGTCTCTTTTGCTCCTTACTCACAGTCTCTGCCTTAGTGGGGGAAAGAGAGCCTATAAAGCCTCACAAAATGAGGCTCCCACCTACCTCTCTCCATCCCCATGCCTCATTGCTCACCTTAGCCATATTGCTTTCTTCCTCTTCTTCAGAGGTGAAGTTCCTTCCTATGTCAGGGCCTTTGTGCTCATGTTCCCCTCTGCAGGAATGCTCGTCCCCAGAGTTTCACATGACTCGTTCTCTCGCTTCATCCAGGTGTCTGCTGAAATACTACTACTTTAGAATAATATTCTTGACTGTGTTTTGGTTTTCTGCATAAACTTGCCACTGCATGAAAGTGTATTATATATTTAACTTATTTTCTTTCTTTTCCGCTAGAACATAAATGTAATAAGGGTAAAAATTTTGTCCATTTCACAACTGTATTCTCTAGAGCATAACAGGCATTTATTTTTGAATATACAAATCGCTTTGCAAACCCTGTTTTCTAAGTGCAGAAAACCCTGGTTTGGAATAGGAAAGTCTTAGATTCACTGGATTACATTCTCAGTCTGTCACTTTGTGTAGGTCATTTGCCTTTAGCAGTTATTTGTGAGTCTGCTTTTGTTATTTACAAAATGGGGATAATAAGGTGATACAATTGGGGGGGGAGTTAAATGAGCAAATGTATATGAGTCTTTTGAAAACATTAAGGTGTTATAGACATGGAAGAGAAAGCCTGTATTTGGGCCTCAGAGCCTAATACCCCTGTAAGACAGCCATTGTAGGGAATTTATACAGACCCATTTCTTCAGTGTTTCTCTGCAGCTCTTACAGCTTGACAGAGATTCTACTCTGCCAGTGTTAGAATCCCAAGCCTAGGATCTTCATTCATTCTCAGACACTGGCCTAAAGAATAACTTGTCCAAGCCATATGGTTTCCACATGGCTGTGGGAAATAATGCTTATGGATCATAATTTTTGCTAGGAACCAATATTAAACCATCTAGGAGCAGTTCTCTTAGGCAGGACTACCTTAATGACAGGCAAGTATTCTCTTGCTTCTTTTCAATATTGTTTTGTTTTCAGAACATGCAGATTATGCTTAAGTAAACGAGTAACACTGTTATTACTGAAACCAGATCTATCCTAATGCTGTTTGGGATGAGAATATAGTTGCCAAATTGATTTTTTTTTTTTCTTCAGACAGAGTCTCGCTCTGTCACTCAGCAGGTTGCAGCGCAGTGGCGTAATCTCAGCTCAGTGCAATCTCCGCCTCCTGGGTTCAAGCGATTCCCCTGCCTCAGCCTCCCAAGTAACTGGGACTACAGGCATGTGCCACCATGCCTGGCTAATTTTTGTATTTTTAATAGAGACAGAGTTTCACCATGTTGTTCAGGCTGGTCTCAAACTCCTGACCTTGAACCCAGGAGGCCAAGGCTGCAGTGAGCTGAGACTGCACCACTGCACTCCAGCGTGGGTGACCAAGTGAGACTGTCTCAAATTTAAAAAAAAAAAGAAAAAAAGAAATTTATTGAATACTTACTAAGTGACTAGTAAGTACTAAGCATTTTACATGTGAGTATTAGTGTGGGCCTTCAGACTTTGTGTTAGAGGTAATCTTTCTTTCTTTAGTAATCTTTACTAATCTGTTAGTGGTTGTATAAAAGAGAGGCATGCTAATATCACTGTAGTTAATGGGAAATTATTGGCGAAATCCTCACATGAGTAAACAGGGAATCATCTCGGATTTCTTGCAGGATGCAGGGAAACATTCTGGATGTAGTACAAAATGGATAGCCAGTGTCCATGCTGCCTGCTGCTCACTCTAGTGCCCGACTATTATGGAGACTCACTGCCTGTCTCCCCTTTATCTGTACACCTCCTACCTTTCTTTCAAGGTCCCATTTAGTTGCCTCTTCTTCCATGAATCCGTCTTTGATCCTTCAATCTTTATAGTTTATTTTTATTTTTTTTATTATACTTTAAGTTTTAGGGTACATGTGCACAACATGCAGATTAGTTACATGTGTATACATGTGCCATGTTGGTGTGCTGCACCCAGTAACTCATCATTTAACATTAGGTATATCTCCTAATGCTATCCCTCCCCCTCCCCCCACCCCACAGCAGGCCCCGGTGTGTGATGGTCCCCTTCCTGTGTCCATGAGTTCGCATTGTTCAATTCCCACCTATGAGTGAGAACATGCGGTGTTTGGTTTTTTGTTCTTGCAATAGTTTGCTGAGAATGATGGTTTCCAGCTTCATCCATGTCCCTACAAAGGACATGAACTCATCCTTTTTTATGGCTGCATAGTATTCCATGGTGTATATGTGCCACATTTTCTTAATCCAGTCTATCGTTGTTGGACATTTGGATTGGTTCCAAGTCTTTGCTATTGTGAATAGTGCTGCAATAAACATACATGTGCATGTGTCTTTATAGCAGCATGTTTTATAATCCTTTGGGTATATACCCAGTAATGGGATGGCTGGGTCAAATGGTATTTCTAGTTCTAGATCCCTGAGGAATCACCACACTGACTTCCACAGTGGTTGGACTAGTTTACACTCCCACCAACAGTGTAAAAGTGTTCCTATTTCTCCACATCCTCTCCAGCACCTGTTGTTTCCTGACTTTTTAATGATCACCAGTCTTACTGGTGTGAGATGATATCTCATTGTGGTTTTGATTTGCATTTCTCCAATGGCCAGTAATGATGAGCATTTTTTCATGTGTCTGTTGGCTGCATAAATGTCTTCTTTTGAGAAGTGTCTGTTCATATCTTTTGCCCACTTGTTAATGGGGTTGTTTGTTTTTTTCTGTAAATTTGTTTGAGTTCATTGTAGATTCTGGATATTAGCCCTTTGTCAGATGAGTAGATTGCAAAAATTATCTCCCATTCTGTAGGTTGCCTGTTCACTCTGAGGGTAGTTTCTTTTGCTGTGCAGAAGCTCTTTAGTTTAATTAGATCCCATTTGTCAATTTTGGCTTTTGTTGCCATTGCTTTTGGTGTTTTAGACATGAAGTCCTTGCCCATGCCTATATCCTGAATGGTAATGCCTAGGTTTTCTTCTAGGGTTTTTATGGTTTTAGGTCTAACATGTAAGTCTTTAATCTATCTTGAATTAATTTTTGTATAAGGTGTAAGGAAGGGATCCAGTTTCAGCTTTCTACATATGGCTATCCAGTTTTCCCAGCACCATTTATTAAATAGGGAATCCTTTCCCCATTGCTTGTTTTTCTCAGGTTTGTCAAAGATCAGATAGTTGTAGATATGCGGCGTTATTTCTGAGGGTTCTGTTCTGTTCCATTGGTCTATATCTCTGTTTTGGTACCAGTACCATGCTGTTTTGGTTACTGTAGCCTTGTAGTATAGTTTGAAGTCAGGTAGCGTGATGCCTCCAGCTTTGTTCTTTTGGCTTAGGATTGACTTGGCAATGTGGGCTCTTTTTTGGTTCCATATGAACTTTAAAGTAGTTTTTTCCAATTCTGTGAAGAAAGTCATTGGTAGCTTCATGGGGATGACATTGAATCTATAAATTACCTTGGGCAGTATGGCCATTTTCACAATATTGATTCTTCCTACGCATGAGCATGGAATGTTCTTCCATTTGTTTGTATCCTCTTTTATTTCATTGAGCAGTGGTTTGTAGTTCTCCTTGAAGAGGTCCTTCACATCCCTTGTAAGTTGGATTCCTAGGTATTGTATTCTCTTTGAAGCAATTGTGAATGGGAGTTCACTCATGATTTGGCTCTCTGTTTGTCTGTTATTGGTGTATAAGAATGCTTGTGATTTTTGCACATTGATTTTGTATCCTGAGACTTTGCTGAAGTTGCCTATCAGCTTAAGGAGATTTTGGGCTGAGACGATGGGGTTTTCTAGATATATAATCATGTCATCTGCAAACAGGGACAATTTGACTTCCTCTTTTCCTAATTAAATGCCCTTTATTTACTTCTCCTGCCTGATTGCCCTGGCCAGAACTTCCAACACTATGTTGAATAGGAGTGGTGAGAGAGGGCATCCCTGTCTTGTGCCAGTTTTCAAAGGGAATGCTTCCAGTTTTTGCCCATTCAGTATGATATTGGCTGTGGGTTTGTCATAGATAGCTCTTATTATTTCAAGATACATCCCATCAATACCTAATTTATTGAGAGTTTTTAGCATGAAGGGTTGTTGAATTTTGTCAAAGGCCTTTTCTGCATCTATTGAGATAATCATGTGGTTTTTGTCGTTGGTTCTGTTTATATGCTGGATTACGTTTATTGATGTGCGTATGTGGAACCAGCCTTGCATCCCAGGGATGAAGCCCACTTGATCATGGTGGATAAGCTTTTTGATGTGCTGCTGGATTCGGTTTGCCAGTATTTTATTGAGGATTTTGGCGTCGATGTTCATCAGGGATATTGGTCTGAAATTCTCTTTTTTTGTTGTGTCTCTGCCAGGCTTTGGTATCAGGATGATGCTGGCCTCATAAAATGAGTTAGGGAGGATTCCCTCTTTTTCTGTTGATTGGAATAGTTTCAGAAGGAATGGTACCAGCTCCTTGTACCTCTGGTAGAATTCAGCTGTGAATCCATCTGGTTCTGGACTTTTTCAGTTGGTAAGCTATTAATTATTGCCTCAATTTTAGAGCTTGTTATTGGTCTATTCAGAGATTCAGCTTCTTCCTGGTTTAGTCTTGGGAGGGCGTATGTGTTGAGGAATTTATCCATTTCTTCTAGATTTTCTAATTTATTTGCGTAGAGGTGTTTATAGTATTCTCTGATGGTAGTTTGTATTTCTGTGGGATCTGTGGTGATATCCCCTTTATCATTTTTTATTGCGTCTATTTGATTCTTCTCTCTTTTCTTCATTAGTCTTGCTAGCAGTCTATCAATTTTGTTGATTTTTTCAAAAAACCAGCTCCTGGATTCATTGATTTTTGAAGGGTTTTTTATGTCTGTATTTCCTTCAGTTCTGTTCTGATCTTAGTTATTTCTTGCCTTCTGCTAACTTTTGAATGTGTTTGCTCTTGCTTCTCTAGTTCTTTTAATTGTGATGTTAGGGTGTCAATTTTGGATCTTTTCTGCTTTCTCTTGTGGGCATTTAGTGCTATAAATTTTCCTCTACACACTGCTTTGAATGTGTCCCAGAGATTCTGGTATGCTGTGTCTTTGTTCTCATTGGTTTCAAAGAACATCTTTCTTTCTGCTTTCATTTCGTTATGTACCCAGTAGTCATTCAGGAGCAGGTTGTTCAGTTTCCATGTAGTTGAGCGGTTTTTAGTGAGTTTCTTAATCTTGAGTTCTAGTTTGATTGCACTGTGGTCTCAGAGACAATTTGTTATAATTTCTGTTCTTTTACATTTGCTGAGGAGTACTTTACTTCCCACTATGCGGTCAATTTTGGAATAGGTGTGATGTGGTGCTGAAAAGAATGTATATTCTGTTGATTTGGGGTGGAGAGTTCTGTAGATGTCTATTAGGTCCGCTTGGTGCAGAGCTGAGTTCAATTCCTGGGTATGCTTGCTAACTTTCTGTCTCGTTGATCTGTCTAATGTTGACAGTGGGGTGTTAAAGTCTCCCATTATTATTGTGTGGGAGTCTAAGTCTCTTTGTAGTTCTCTAAGGACTTGCTTTGTGAATCTGGGTGCTCCTGTATTGGGTGCACGTATATTTAGGATAGTTAGCTCTTATTGTTGAATTGATCCCTTTGCCATTATGTAATGGCCTTCTTTGTCTCTTTTGATCTTTGTTGGTTTAAAGTTTGTTTCATCAGAGACTAGGATTGCAACCCCTGCCTTTTTTTGTTTTCCATTTGCTTAGTAGATCTTCCTCCATCCCTTTATTTTGAGCCTATGTGTGTCTCTGCATGTGAGATGGGTTTCCTGAATACAGTACACTGATGGGTCTTGACTCTTTATCCAGTTTGCCAGTCTGTGTCTTTTAATTGGAGCATTTAGCCCATTTACATTTAAGATTAATATTGTTATGTGTGAATTTGATCCTGTCTTTATGATGTTAGCTGGTTATTTTGCTCGTTAGTTGATGCAGTTTCTTCCCAGCCTCAATGGTCTTTACGATTTGGCATGTTTTTGCAGTGGCTGGTACTGGTTTTTCCTTTCCATGTTTAGTGCTTCCTTCAGGAGCTCTTTTAGGGCAGGCTTGTTGGTGACAAAATCTCTCAGCATTTGTTTGTCTGTAAAGTATTTTATTTCTCCTTCACTTATGAAGCTTAGTTTGGCTGGATATGAAATTCTGGGTTGAAAATTCTTTTCTTTAAGAATGTTGAGTATTGGCCCCCACTCTCTTCTGGCTTGTAGAGTTTCTGCCAAGACATCAGCCGTTAGTCTGATGGGCTTCCCTTTGTGGGTAACCCAACCTTTCTCTCTGGCTGCCCTTAACGTTTTTTCCTTCATTTCAACTTTGGTGAACCTGACAGTTATGTGTCTTGGAGTTGCTCTTCTCAAGGAGTATCTTTGTGGCATTCTCTGTATTTCCTGAATTTGAATGTTGGCCTGCCTTGCTAGATTGGGGAAGTTCTCCTGGATAATATCCTGCAGAGTGTTTTCCAACTTGGTTCCATTCTCCCCGTCACTTTCAGGTACACCAGTGAGACACAGATTTGGTCTTTTCACATAGTCCCATATTTCTTGGAGGCTTTGTTGGTTTCTTTTTATTCTTTTTTCTCTAAACTTCTCTTCTCGCTTCATTTCATTCATTTGATCTTCCATCACTGATACCCTTTCTACCAGTTGATCAAATCGGCTACTGAGGCTTGTGCATTCGTCACGTAGTTCACATGCCATGGTTTTCAGCTCCATCAGGTCCTTTAAGGACCTCTCTGCATTGGTTATTCTAGTTAGCCATTCGTCTAATTTTTTTTCAAGGTTTTTAACTTCTTTGCCTTGGGTTCGAACTTCTTCCTTTAGCTCAGAGTAGTTTGATCATCTGAAGCCTTCTTCTCTCAACTCGTCAAAGTCATTCTCTGTCCAGCTTTGTTCCGTTGCTGGTAAGTAGCTGCATTCCTTTGGAGGATGAGAGGCGCTCTGATTTTTAAAGTTTCCAGTTTTTCTGCTCTGTTTTTTCCCCATCTTTGTGGTTTTATCTACTTTTGGTCTTTGATGATGGTGACGTACAGATGGGGTTTTGGTGTGGATGTCCTTTCTGTTAGTTTTCCTTCTAACAGTCAGGACCCTCAGCTGCAGGTCTGTTGGAGTTTCCTGGAGGTCCACTCCAGACCCTGTTTGCCTGGGTATCAGCAGCGGAGCCTGCAGAACAGCATATATTGGTGAACAGCAAATGTTGCTGCCTGATCATTCCTCTGGAAGTTTTGTCTCAGAGGAGTACCCAGCCGTGTGAGGTGTCAGTCTGCCCTTACTGGGGGCTGTCTCCCAGTTAGGCTACTCGGGGTTCAGGGACCCACTTGAGGCAGTCTGTCTGTTCTCAGATCTCCAGCTGCATGCTGGGAGAACCACTACTCTCTTCAAAGCTGTCAAACAGGGACATATAAGTCTGCAGAGGTTTCTGCTGCGTTTTGTTTGCTTATGCCCTGCCCTCAGAGGTGGAGCCTACAGAGGCAGGCAGGCCTCCTTGAGCTGTGGTGGGCTCCACCTAGTTCAAGCTTCCTGGCCGCTTTGTTTACCTACTCAAGCCTCGGTAATGGCAGGTGCCCCTCCCCCAGCCTCACTGCCACCTTGCAGTTTGGTCTCAGACTGCTGTGCTAGCAATCAGCGAGGCTCCGTGGGCGTAGGACCCTCCGAGCCAGGCATGGGATATAAAATCTCCTGTTGTGCCATTTGCTAAGACCGTTGGAAAAGTGCAGTATTAGGGTGGGAGTGACCTGATGTTACAGGTGCCATCTGTCACCCCTTTCTTTGACTAGGAAAGGGAATTCCCTGACCCCTTGCGCTTCCCAGGTGAGGCGATGCCTCGCCCTGCTTAAGCTCATGCTTGGTGCACTGAACCCAGTGTCCTGCACCCACTTTCTGACACTCCCCAGTGAGATGAACCCGGTACCTCAGTTGGAAATGCAGAAATCACTCGTCTTCTGCGTCACTCATGCTGGGAGCTGTAGACTGGAACTGTTCCTATTCGGCCATCTTGGCTCCACTTCCTATGTTTTTTAAATTAATTTATTTTTTAGATTGACAGATAAAATTGTGTATTTATATAGTACAACATGGTGTTTTGAAGTACATATACATAGCTGAATGGTTAAATCTGGCTAGTTAACATGCATTATCTCACATTATCATTTTTTATAGTGAGAGCACTTAATGTCCTCTCTTAACATTTTTCAGAAATACAGTATTTTATCTATAGTCACCATGGTGTAGTCACCGTGCAATTGATCTATTAAACTTATTCCTTCTACCTAGCTGTAATTTTATATCCTTTGGCCAACATCTTCCTAACCCCTCCCTCAACTGCCCCAGCCTCTGGTAACTATCATTCTTCTCTCTACTTCTGTAAGATCAACTTTTTTAGATTCCACATATTAGTAAGGTTGTACACTATTTGTCTTTCCATGCCTGGCTTGTTTCACTTAATATAATGTCCTTCAGGTTCATCTGTGTTGTTGCAAATGGCAGGATTTCCCTTTTTTTATGGCCAACTAGTATTCCATTGTGTATATATACTACATTTTATTTATTCATTCATCCATTGATGGTTGCTTAAGTTGATTCCACATCTTGGCTATTGCAAGTATAATTTATCTTTGGACTTACCACTTCTCTATTTGATAATTATCTGTCTGCTATATTATACCAACAGCCTTCAAGCTCCCGAATGGCAGAGTCTGTACCCAAGTTTTATCTCTATAACAAGTCTATTGTAGCAGGTCTGTTGTATTGTTTGCTCTCTCTCTCTCTCTCTATATATATATGTGATACTTTGCCATGTTCTAGACTTGGAAAATGATTGACTAGGACTCATGAACCCATGGCCATTCCTTAGATAATAATGATCACAGCCGTAACAGCTAATACTGATTGAGGGCCTACTATGTGACAGACACTGTTAAGGGTGTTACCTGTCATAATTCCATTTAATCCTTATAATAACCTCATAGGGGTAGAGTAGATACTATTGTCATCTCTGTTTTCCAAATGAGGAAAATTAAACATTCAAAGATAAAATAATTTGTCCAAGGTCACATAGCTAGTAAATGGTAGACTAGTATTTGAACCAAAGCTTTCTGGCTGCAGAGTCATATCACTATTGTAGACTTGCACTGAAATGAATAAAACTTCTCCTATGCATGTCTCCTCTTAAAGATGGCTTTAAATCTAATTCCTCAAGGCTGTTATTTATTTTTGTTTAAAGTGACTTACCTTCCCTGTTTGCTCTTTGAGCCTTCTGAGAAGGGCAAGGATGCAGCAGAGAGAGCCTTGGAGAGAGTAAACTGTATTCTCAGGAATACAATGGCAGAAGAGCACCTGGAGAGATTTGAGCAGTGCCCTTTTCCCTTTCCTTGGGAGGTGACAGGCTAAGAGGGTGCTTTCATGGCAGTGGCTGCCCTTTCAGCTTCAGGCTTGTGTACCTTGTACATGATGAGACTGGAGAACAGTGGACTGTCTGAGCCAGTGACCGTGCAGGCTGCTCTCTGGAAAAGCAGGGTGTGAATGCAAATTTATTGTCCTGGGACATTCCCCAATATAAATAGACTTTTTGTGCTAACTCCTGCTTTTCCAATTGAGGGCTATTTTCTCTTTCTTTTTTTAAAACAATCTTTCTAGATGGCATTTTTTTTCCTTCCTGTCTTTGAGTGATAGGGCTCACATCTAGGAAGGAAATGATCTTTTACTTCAAAGGTTATATCCCTGTCAGACTTAAAGTTGTTTAAAATTAAGTCTTTGCCTCTGGAGCTCTGAGTCAAGGTGAAGAATGCTCACTCCAGAGTTCTGACTCCTTGAGGACTAGAAGTAAGAGTGAACTCTTGCCTTGAGCCAGGTACAGTCGGTCAGGGAATAAGTCTTTATTGAGCCTTGACTAGGTGCTTGGGCTTGTGATAGGATGAAATCCTTGCCCCCAAGTTGCTTACAACCATGGGGAAATGGTGTAGGAGAGTCAAGATCATAATATGTGAAATAACCAGACAACAGTAAGATAATACATAATTAAGAACCAAATACATATATCAAACTCAAGCAGTTGTAAGCATTCTCAGAATCAGTGTGATGCAATGGTTAAAGAATTTTGGCTTTGGGGTTAGAGGTTCTGGGTTTGAATTCCAGCTTTACCACCTGCTAGCTATATAACTTTAGACCTACTATTTAACTATTTAAACTATTTAAACTAAGGAGTTTAACTATTTAAACTCCTTAGGCCTTAGTTTTCTCATCTGCAAAATGGAGATGATAATAGTATCTAAAGTAAGTTTGCTGTTAGGCTTAAATAAGATGATCCATTCATTCAGTTAAAAAAAATTTCAGTGCCTTCTTTGTGCAAGGCACTATTTTAAGTATGTGGAATACACAGATGACCTTGGAATCTCAGTGGCAATAACGACAAATGTTTGTTTTTCTCACATACTACATGTCCACTCTGGATCAGCTTTAGCTCTGCTCCCTTCTCCTTTATTCTAAGACCAAAGCTAAAGGTGAGCCCCTATGTGGGAAATGCTGGCAAAGGGAAAAGGGCAATAGAAAACCATGCAATCCACCCTAGTAGAGCAGAAAATCACTGTTGGGGCAGAGTGAGAAGTGATTTCAGATGGAGAGAAAGAGAGTCCTGAAGGCCCACTAGATTAGAACATTATTGCAGTGATTCAGATGAAAGATCTTGACATTCTGGACTTGGATAAGCACAGTAGCAAAGGAGAGAAGAGAACAGGTGGAGGGAACAAGGATACAGGGAAATGGAGAGGACTTAGTGAGTGGCTGTATTTGAGGAATAAGGGAGAAGGATGGAGCTAAACTAAGAGCACTAGCTTCCAAAATTAGCTGTGCTACTAAGTTTACTTAGTTGTGTAAACTCAAGTCATTGAACCTCTCTGGCCTTGAGTTTTGAACATTTATAAAATGAGAGTCCTGAGTTTGATGTGGTCCCTAAGGTTCCTTCCAGCTCTATTCCTCTGGCTCTAAAACTCCAAGGTCTTTGTTCTGGAAGACCACACACTACTGGGAGTGGTGCTATTGGGAGGCTAAATTAATTTCGAGAGAAAGATGTTACAAAAACCTAGTTTTGCATTTGTCTGCTTCTATTGGGTTGTGTGCCTTTCCTTTTTGCCTTTGCTCGTAGCCTTCGCTTTCTCCTTGGCTTGATTGTGAATCCAGAAAGGAGATAGAATTTATTCTTCATCTCCAAGGTGGGATCCTTGGGAAGACACAGGGCCTGGAGGTCGTGGAACTAATGCAGCCTTGTGTACAACGCCTTTCCAGTGTCTTTGGTATCTTGGCATCTTTATATGCTTCCATTAGCATATTTTGCAGTATGATAACATCTTCACAGATGTTAGCCAGGAGGTCTGTTTGGAGAGAAACTTTATGTTCCCCTATTCCCACATATCCACAGAATCAGAAACTTTGGCCAACTCTTTCTTCTTCTCAAGGGCATGCTTCTTCCTCTCTTTTATCTCTTGCTTGCTCCTTCTCATGGGAAGAGGAGCAACTTGTCTCATTGGTTAGAGTCTGGCAATCATTTGGTCCCTCTTTGTTGTACAGAGTTAATGTGTTAACAACTCCTGCTCCAAAAAGACAACATGGTCTTATCCTTTTCTTTTGCTTTCTTTGATCACCTAGTTCAGGCAGGGTGGGCCTTCCTTCTGCTCACCATTACAGTAAGCAGATTAGGATGGAATTGCCTCTGATAAACCCAGACAGGTCTTTCTTTCAACTTCTCTTTCAGGTCACTTTTCCCCTGGGATTTAGATAACATTAATTTAGTCGGAGAGGCGGCAGAAAACACCTGCTATAGCCTCTGACACCAGTCCATGTAAGTCAGCACTGTACTTTATTAGTTGGGTCTCCATTAGCAAAAGTAGTACCTTGATCACAGTTTAGCTGCTTAGTTTCTGCTCTTCCTGTTTGAAATTGGAGAATCTAGTAAATAAGTGACACCATGACCTTTGGCAGAACCCGTTCGGCATCACATCACAGTTGTTAATGGTTTCCTATCCCTCTTTCCCAGCTTTGCCAGTAGGAGAGTACAATTATCAAAGAGGAAGACGGTTTGCACCTTGCATCGTAGGAAGTAGTTTACAAAGCTGAGTGGCCATCAACCAGTATATGCTTGACCCATAAACTGTGCTTCCAGGAAACAGTCCAGCTTTATATCCTGGCATTTTAACCATTTCAGATGGTCTTTTCAGTTAAATGATTACTTTGACTTCTCAGTATTAAATTTATTATGCAGTATGAGCTCTCTGAAGATGAATGTTGTACTTAATTTTTTTAAAAAAAAACCTCCTTCTCATACCCATCCCTATTCCATATCCCATATAGTGTTTTGTAATAAAACTTTTCAACTGGAAAGTACTTAATAAATTCTGACATGATATCGAAAGACTTTTTTTTGTTGTTTGTTTGTTTCTAAAATGAGAGGCCAACTCAGTTGAAATGGCTAAGCCATTTGTGTGCATAGTTGCAATCCCAGTTGATTCGTTACAGAAAAAATTTAAATCTTAATAATTATTTTCAGGACCTCTGTCATGAGACAGAGCTCATGGGCCTTGATTTATTCCACAAACATGTATACCAGATACTGTATGAGGCACAACAGAGAAAAAGAATAAGCCAGGGGCCTTGCTTTCAAGGCATCATAGCCCAGTTGAGAAATGAAATTCCTGAACAAAGAATTATAATCTACCAGTATGAGAACCCACATAGAGAAATGTGTTAAGTGCTATGGGAAGCAGAGTAAAATATGACTAGTTCTTCCTAGGAATCAAGGAAGATTTCACAGATGTTGACTCATTCCGACCAGTGACTTGAAAAGAACTGTACAACAGTAAGTTGAATGGTGACAGGTAGAGAATGGACATCCTAATGGTAAGCTCTGTTAGTTACAAGGAGATTTTAGAACTATGGTTAAGGGGAAAGTGTGCATTGCCTCACTATTTAAGTCCTTTGTCAGCATTGTGCTTTATTTTGCAAGGAGAGGGTTTTGCCAGCATTTATCCTTCTGGTTCTAGGCAAAGCTTGGGTATAAAAGAAGTAAACTTGGCATATTCTGAGGCAGCCATAATTTGAAGCCTTTCAGTCTTGATGTTTCACTCATTCATTCATTTGTTTATTCATTCTCTCCTGCTCTTTCTGTGCAATCTGATAGAACAAAATTTAGTTTCTTTTTAACCATCCCCTATTCTTTCAGTTCTTCTTTGGTATAACTATGTCTCCTGTTTCTTACTGTGTTTGTCGGAGACTAATTGTAAGAAACCAAAATCCATCCAAACTAGTTCAATCAACACAGAGTGGTAAGGAAAGGATATGGTACATTTCATAAGACCCAATAAAAGCAAGTATTTCTGTGCCTGGTGGAGACAGGAGTAGGAATTGCTTACAACCAGAGATTACTCTCACAGTCTTCTTTCTTCTCTTTTTCTCTTTCTCCTTTTTGCATCACTCTCTACCTTCCAGAACAGCCTCCTCTTTTTACTTGTGTCTCTCTTCTTCCTATGTAATTTCAGCTTGCACTGGCATCACTTTGGCCCATGCCCTGCAGTTCTCTGATGCACATTTACCCTTATCTTAACACTGTCTCAAAAGAAAACCCAGCCAATTCATCTGTCCGTTAATTAGCTGCTTGAGTTAGGTGGGCATACCTAGTCCAGTCAGCTACAGTAAAAAAGTATGCGTGTGTTGGGGTTGGGAATTTATCTGGTTATATAGGGCTTCTCCTCCCCAAGGCCAGGGTAGAGCAGAAGGGTAAATTGGGAAAGGTAGGCAGAATTGAATGATACTCTGCTTTATTTCCCTAGAGAGACAAACCAGCGTACAATCTAAGATGACAGTTGAGATTTTCTTAACGAAAGTTTTTCATAGTTGGACAACAGAGTGCTCCTACATGCCCACATTCAGTGTCCATTCCAAAACAAATTCTACTTCTTCCATGTGTAGCATTTTGCAGATAAACTGAGTAGTGATTATTCATCCAGCACATAGTTCTTACCCCTGTTTCTCACTTGCTTTGGCCTCGGCAGGCCGGGATATATGAGAAAAACCAAGAATTTGGAGTCACTGGATTTATTAGTTCCATCTCTTACTAATTCAGTGACCATGAATAAGCTCCAACATCTTAGAACCTCTCTTCCCTGATTCAAAAAATGAGGTTGACTTGTGCCTCACCAGCCTCCCTGGATACTTACAAGGGGCACATGATAAATGTGTGTGGAATGACTTTGTGAATAGTAAAGCACTGTGCAAATGAGTTCAATTATTAACAAATTATGTTAGAGATGGAAACAAAGGTTGATTTTTGGCTTGTCTGACATTTAGCATGAAGTACTAAGGAATAGATTCTCTGATATCTGCTCATCCAAGTCAAGTCATGGTTTTAGGCAAGATTCGTAAACAACACGTTTCTGGTGCTCTGGCTCTCAGACTGTCATCAAGCATGTGAAGTTCCTTGAATGAAAGACGTAATGGAAACAAATGGGTGCATGCTCCTACATCAATGTGTGTGTGTCAGTATGGCCTCCAGGCATGATAGAGGACCTTTCATTTTTTAGCTGAAATTATTTTAATCATTATAGTGGTATTAAATGGGCTGTTATCGGGGTGCTTCTTTTAGTTAGATGGTGATGGTGAAAGAAAAACATGGACCACAAATGTGATTTAACTGAGGATCATCTTTACTTGGTGTGGATAAGAACAAAGAAAAGACCAAACTTGTGAACATACAAGATCACCTTACCTGGCCCTCCTCTGTCAGTCACAGGTTAGGTATGCAATAGATAATCCTCAGTACTACTACTCTGTTCCAGGATGGAGAATTAAGGAGAGGGGAGGTTGGAGGTGCTGCCAGCTCTTTTTCTTTGTCTTTTCTGTGGTTGTATTATGTCTCTGTGCTGTGGTGGGATAATGAGGAAATATTATGAGAATAATGTTCTTTCTCTGTGGGAAAAAAAGTTGTATATATATATACATATATATGTTTACCACTTCAGATGTATTATTTGAAGAGAGGCAACTTGATGTAATGGAAGGACCATGGGCTTTGAAGTTATACAGACACGAATTCAAAAATCAAATCCCACATTAACTATTTTTTAGTGGATATGACCTTGGGAAATTACTTAACCTCTGTGAACTTTTCAGATGTTTCATCCATGCAATGCAGATAATAGTGCAGATATGTGATCCCCTAGGACAGGGCCTAGCACATAGATGCTCACTAAATGGTGCCTATAGTGGTAACTATGTAGGCCCCTGATGGTCCTTGGCCCCAAGTGGCAGCTGCAGTGGAAATTTTAATCAGAAGGTTAGGGGGACTTCTTTCTAAAACCACGGTTAGTTTGTAAGGCTGCTCACAGCCCTCTGTTGCAGTTATAACATTCACTGAATCACATAGAGGGACCTTTGGGGAAAGAGAGCACTGCCCAAGGCATAGCGGACTAAAGGCCTAAAGGAAACTTAGACGGGGAATGGGGATTTAAAACTCAATGATTTGATTGTGGGTAGCCCAAAGAGAATGTTTAACTTGGATTCAAACTTTGAGTGTAGACTGTAGAATTGAATTTAAGAAAGTTTTATTATTTAATCCCCTGCTATGTGGCAGGTACCATGCAAAGTAGCTTGCATACTTAATTTAATTTACTGTTCATGGTAGCTGTACAAGGTAGGTGGGATTATTCTCACTTTGAAAATAAGTAAAAGAAGCTAAATAATTTGTTGAAGGTCACACAGCTAGTTGAAGGTCACACAGCTAGAAGTTGAGGGTTCGCACTCAACCCAGTTCTGTCTGTTTCCAAATTCCACATTTTTCCCAATATGCCTCACGGCTACCAGATCTCATAGCCCACTTGCTTAGTGCAGTAATTTCTAATCATGGCCCTTGGATCCCTGAAGGATTCAAGGGGATCCCTGAAGATAGAAATGAATTCTATGTGCCATTTTCATTATTTCAAAAACTTTAATGGAAAATCTTATATTTAGTTGCAACAAGTTTATACTTGGTAACAAAAATGGCATGTTTCTTTGCTTACAGTTAACTGTTTTTCTCCCATGGTGACCTAGTTTGTCAGTTATTGATGTATGTAATAAAACTAATTAAACACTCAAAAATGCTTTTGGTTAGACAAAGTCTTTCAGATTCTGAAGCTCATGGGGAGGGTAAATGGGTGTTCTTGATGGTAAAAAATATATGAAATATAGTCAGATTTGAAGACTGCAAATTGATGGGTCATCAGCCAATTCTGGCCTAAAGATGCATTTTGTTTGGCTAATAAAATGGTGGTGTTTTTTAATTTATAAATTCCTGACAAACATTTAAAAATTAGAAAATGTCACATCAAAAAGCAGATGTTTAAGCTTCTTTTCAAAATTCAAAAGTTCTGGCATTAGTGGATCCACATTTGTCCATGACAATAACCAGCTGGAACCGGGTTGTTACTTAGATGAACCACGTGCTTTTTCCAGTTTCCCACAGCCTCCACCTGACCCAGTTCATTGATGTATATTACCTGTCAGGCTCAGTAAGCATGTGAGTCTGTGATTCCTGGGCTAGCTCAGACTCCTCATCATCTTGTTTGGCTATGGAGTAAAACCCATTTTCCGTCTGTGATCACTCACATCTTTTGTACTCTGTACAGCTTTGTGTCTTGGGACTTTTTTCTTATGTTGTTATTTTATGTCTTTCATGTAAATAGGTCTGTTTGACAAGAGCCACATTCTCATCAGTTCACAGTTGGCATTGTTTTGGGGGCTGGAAATGCAGAGGAGTCTTATGGTGCTCGCACCCTGAGGGAGGTCACAGTCTAGCCTTGTTTCTTTTTAATTTACAAAGCATCCAGCATTCTGATGTGCATGTTCAGGACTTATTAGAATGTGGAGATTAACAGCATGGGATTTGGTATCAGAAAGACCTAGGTTAGAGTACTGATGTAGTTTATGTAAACTCTTCAGCTTCTGTTTTCTTGTCTTTAAAAGGGGGATAATTAATAGTACTTATGGGATACAGTGAGGTTTGAATGACCCAGTGATTATAAGGGGCTTAGTTCCAATCCATAACATTTAATAACTGCCAAATACCTGGTAACTCTTATTACTAGGGCTGGACATACAGTTGGCTCTCAATTGATGCTTGTTGAATTAACAAATAAATTGAACAAATTGAGTGTAAGGAATTAGATGTATTCAGACAAATAACTGCAATGGATGATGTCACCAAAAGTGTCTCCAGCAGGCCTAAGGACTATGAATTTATTTATTTTTTTTATAATTTCAACTTTTATTTTAGGTTCAAGAGGTACACTTGCTTCATTTGTTACATTAATATATTGCATGATGCTGAGGTATGGGGTACAATTGATCCTATCACCCAGGTAGTGAGTGTAGTACCTAATAGTTTTTCAACCCTTGCCCCACTCCCTTCCCCGTCTAGTAGTCCCTAGTGTCTATTATTGCCATCTTTATGTCTGTGTGTACCCAGTATTCAGCTCCCACTTACAAATGAGAATATGCAGTATTTGGTTTTTGTTCCTGTGTTAATTCACTTAGGATAATGACCTTCAGCTGTATCCATACTGCTGCAAAGGACATGGTTTTGTTCTTTTTATGACTACATAGTATTCCATGGTGTCTTTGTATCATATTTGCTTTATCCAGTGCACTGCTGATGGGCACACAAGGTTGATTCCATGTCTTTGCTATTGGGAATAGTGCTGTGATGAACTAAGAGCGCATGTAACTTTTTGGTAGAATGATTTATTTTGTATTGGATATATACCCAGTAATGGGATTGCTGGGTTGAATAATAATTCTGTTTTAAGCTCTTTAACTGCTTTCCACAGTGGCTAAACTAATTTACATTCCCATCAACTGTGTATAAACATTTCCTTTTCTCCATAGCCTCACCAGCATCTGTTGTTTTTTGACCTTTTAATAATAGCAATTCTGACTGGTGTGAGATGGTATCTCATTGTGGTTTTGACTTGCATTTCTCTGAGGATTAGTAATGTTGAACATTTTTCCATATGTTTGTTGGCCGCTTGGATGTTGATATGGTTTAGCTCTGTGTCCCCACCCAAATCTCATCTTGAATTCTATTCCCATAATTACCATGTGTTGTAGGAGGGACCCAGTGGGAGATAATTTGAATTATGGGGGCAGTTTCCCCCATACTGTTCTTGTGGTAGCGAATAAGTCTCACGAGATCTTTCATCTCATTTTCTCTTGCCACCACCGTGTAAGAGGTACCTTTTGCCTCCTGCCGTGAATCTGAGGCCTCCCCAGCCATGTGGAACGCTAAGCCCAATTAACTCTCTTTTTTCTTCCCAGTCTCAGTTATGTCTTTATCAGCAGCGTGAAAATGGACTAATAGAGTAAATTGGTACCAATAGAGCGGGGCGTTGCTGAAAAGATACCTGAAAATGTGGAAGCGACTTTGGAACTGGGTAACAAGCAGAGGTTGGAACAGTTTGGAGGGCTCACAAGAAGACAGGGAAATGTGGGAAAGTTTGGAACTTCCTAGAGAGTTGTTGAATGGCTTTGACAAAAATGCTGATAGTGATATGAACAATAAGGTCCAGACTGAGGTGGTCTCATATGGAGATGAGGAAGTTGTTGGAAACTGGCGCAAAGGTGACTCTTGTTATGTTTTCGCAAAAAGACTGGTGGCATTTTGCCCCTGCCCTAGAAATTTTTGGAACTTTGAACTTGAGAGAGATGATTTAGGGTATCTAGTGGAAAAAAATTTCTAAGCAGCAAAGTGTTCAAAAGGTGACTTGGGTGCCATTAAAAGCATTTAGTTTTGGATGCGCACGGTGGCTCATGCCTGTAATCCCGGCACTTTGGGAGGCCAAGGTGGGCGGATTATGAGGTCAGGAGTTGGAGACTAGCCTGGCCAACATAGTGAAACCCCCGTCTCTACTAAAAATACAAAAATTAGCTGGGCTTGTTGTCAGATGCCTGTAATCTCAGCTACTTGGGAGGCTGAAGCAAGAGAATCGCTTGAAGGTGGGAGACAGAGGTTGCAGTGAGCCAAGATCATGCCACTGCTCTCCAGCCAGGGTGAGAGAGCGAGACTCTGTCTCAAAAAAGAAAAAAAAAAAAAAGCATTTAGTTTTAAAAGGCAAACAGAACATGAAAGTTTGGAAAATTTGCAGCCTCACAATGTGATAGAAAAGAAAAACCCATTTTTCTGAGGAGAAATTCAAGCCGTCTGCATAAATTTGCATAAGGGGAGCCGAATGTTAATCCCCAGGACAATGGGGAAAATATCTCCAAGGCTTGTCAGAGGTCTTCACAGCAGGGCCTCCCATCACAGGCCCAGAGGTCTAGGAGAACATGGTTTCCTTGGTCAGCCCAGTGTCCCTGTGCTGTGTGCAGCCTAGGAACTTGGTGCCCTGTGCCCCAGCCACTCCAGCCATGGCTGAAAGGGGCCAACGTAGAGCTCGGGCCTTGGCTTCAGAGGGTGTAAGCCGCAAGCCTTGACAGCTGCCACATGGTGTTGAGCCTGTGAGTGCACAGAAGTCAAGAACTAAAGTTTGAGAACCTCCACCTAGATTTCAGAAGATGTATTGAAATGCCTGGATGCCCAGGCATAAGTTTGCTGCAGGGGCGGGGTACTCATGGAGAACCTCTGCTAGGCAGTGCAGAAGAGAAATGTGGGGTTGGAGCCCCTACACAGAGTCCCTACTGGGGCACTGCCTAGTGGAGCTGTGAGAAGAGGGCCACCATCCTCCAGACCCCAGAATGGTAGATCACCGACAGCTTGCACCATGCACTTGGAAAAGTCACAGACACTCAATGGCAGCCCATGAAGGCAGCTGGTAGGGAGGCTATACCCTGCAAAGCCACAAGGGCAGAGCTGCCCAAGACCATGGGAACCCACCTCTTGCATCAGCATGACCCAGATTTGAGACATGGCATCAAAGGACATCATTTTGGAGCTTTAAGATTTGACTGCCCTGCTGGATTTCAGACTTTCATGGGGCTGGTAGCCCCTTTGTTTTGGCCAATTTCCCCCATTTGGAATGGCTGTATTTACCCATGTCACACAGGTAGAACTCAGTGTGCCTGTACCCCCATTGTATCTAGGAAGTAACTAAATTGCTTTTGATTTTACAGGCTCATAGGTGGAAGGGACTTGTCTTGTCTCAGATAAGACTTTGGACTGTGGACTTCTGCGTTAATGCTGAAATAAGTTAAGACTTTGGGGGACTGTTGGGAAGGCATGATTGGTTTTGAAATGTGAGGACTTGAGATTTAAAGGGGACAAGGGCAGAAAGATGGTTTGGCTCTGTGTCCCCATGCAAATCTCATCTTGAATTTTACTCGCATAATCCCATGTGTTGTGGGAGGGACCTGGTGGGAGATAATTTGAATCATGGAGGTGGTTTCCCCCATGCTATTCTCATGGTCGTGAATAAGGCTCACAAGATCTGATGGTTTTATCAGGGGTTTCCGCTTTGGCATCTTCCTCATTTTCTCTTGCTACCACCATGTAAGAAGTGCCATTGCCTCCCGCCATGATTCTGAGGCCTCCCCAGCCATGTGGAACTGTTAAGTCCAATTAAACCTCTTTTTCTTGCCAGTCTCGGTTATGTCTTTGTCAGCAGTGTCAAAACAGACTAATACAGGTGCCTTTTTTTTAAAGAAGTATCTATTCATGTCTTTGGCCCACTTTTTCATGGAGTTACTTGTTCTTTGCTTGTTGAATTGTTCAAGTTTGTTATCGATTCCAGATGTTAGACCTTTGTCAGATGCATAGTTTGCAAATATTTTCTCCCACTTTGCAGGCTGTTTACTCGGTGGATAGTTTATTTTGCTGTACAGAAGCTCTTTTTTAATTATTATACTTTAAGTTCTAGGGTACATGTGCATAAGGTACAGGTTTGTTACATATATATACATGTGCCATGTTGGTGTGCTGCACCCATTAACTCGTCATTTACATTAGATATATCTCCCAGTGCTATCCCTCCCCTCTCCCCCTACCCCACAACAGGCCCCGGTGTGTGGTGTTCCCCACCCTGTGTCCAAGCATTCTCATTGTTCAGTTCCTACCTATGAGTGAGAACGTGCGGTGTTTGGTTTTCTGTCCTTGCGATAGTTTGCTCAGAATGATGGTTTCCAGCTTCATCCATGTCCCTACAAAGGACAAGAACTCATCCTTTTTTATGGCTGCATAGTATCCCGTGGTGTATATGTGCCACATTTTCTTTATTCAGTCTATCATTGATGGACATTTGGGTTGGTTCCAAGTCTTTGCTATTGTGAATAGTGCCACAATAAACATATGCGTGCATGTGTCTTTATGGCAGCATGATTTATAATCCTTTGGGTATATACCCAGTAATGGGATGGCTGGGTCAAATGGTATTTCTAGTTCTAAATCCTTGAGGAATCGCCAAACTGTCTTCCACAATGGTTGAACTAGTTTACAGTCCCACCAACAGTGTAAAAGTGTTCCTATTTCTCCACATCCTCTCCAGCACGTGTTGTTTCCTGACTTTTTAATAATTGCCATTCTAACTGGTGTGAGATGGTATCTCATTGTAGATTTGATTTGCATTTCTCTCATAGCCGGTGATGATGAGCATTTTTTCACGTGTCTGTTGGCTGCATAAATGTCTTCTTCTGAAAAGTGTCTGTCATATCCTTCACCCACTTTTTGATGGGGTTGATTTTTTTCTTGTAAATTTGTTTAACTTCTTTGTAGATTCTAGATATTAGCACCTTGTCAGATGGGTAGATTGTAAAAATTTTCTCCCATTCTGTAGGTTGCCTGTTCACTCTGATGGTAGTTTCTTTTGCTGTGCAGAAGCTCTTTAGTTTAGTTAGATCCCATTTGTCAATTTTGGCTTTTGTTGCCATTGCTTTTGGTGTTTTAATCATGAAGTCCTTGCCCCTGCCTATGTCCTGAATGGTATTACCTAGGTTTTCTTCTAGGGTTTTTTGGTTTTAGGTCTAACATGTAAGTCTTTAATCCATCTTGAATTAATTTTTGTATAAGGTGTAAGGAAGGGATCCAGCTTCAGCTTCCTACATATGGCTAGCTAGTTTTCCCAGCACCATTTATTAAATAGGGAATCCTTTCCCCATTGCTTGTTTTTGTCAGGGTTGTCAAAGATCAGATGGTTGTAGATGTGTGGTATTATTTCTTAGGGTTCTGTTCTGTTCCATTGGTCTATATCTCTGTTTTGGTACCAGTACCATGCTGTTTTGCTTACTGGAGCTTTGTAGTATAGTTTGAAGTCAGGTAGCGTGATGCCTCCATCTTCGTTCTTTTGGCTTAGGATTGTCTTGGCAATGTGGGCTCTTTTTTGGTTCCATATGAACTTTAAAGTAGTTTTTTCCACTTCTGTGAAGAAAGTCATTGGTAGCTTGATTGGGGATGGCATTGAATCTATAAATTACCTTGGGCAGTATGGCCATTTTCATGATATTGATTCTTCCTATGCATGAGCATGGAATGTTCTTCCATTTGTTTGTGTCCTCTTTTATTTCATTGAGCAGTGGTTTGTAGTTCTCCTTGAAGAGGTCCCTCACATCCCTTGTAAGTTGGATTCCTAGGTATTTTATTCTCTTTGAAGCAATTGTGAATGGGAGTTCACTCATGATTTGGCTCTCTGTTTGTCTGTTATTGGTGTATAGGGATGCTTGTGATTTTTACACATTGATTTTGTATCCTGAGACTTTGCTGAAGTTGCTTATCAGCTTAAGGAGATTTTGGGCTGAAACAATGGGATTTTCTAAATATACAATCATATTATCTGCAAACAGGGACAATTTGACTTCCTCTTTTGCTAATTGAATACTCTTTATTTCTTTCTCCTGCCTAATTGCCCTGGCCAGAACTTCCAGCACTATGTTGAATAGGAGTGGTGAGAGAGGGCATCCCTGTCTTGTGCCAGTTTTCGAAGGGAATGCTTCCAGTTTTTGCCCATTCAGTATGATATTGGCTGTGGGTTTGTGATAAATAGCTCTTACCATTTTGAGATACATCCCATCAGTACCTAGTTTATGGAGAGTTTTTAGCATAAAGTGCTGTTGAATTTTGTCAAAGGCCTTTTCTGCATCTATTGAGATAATCATTTGGTTTTTGTCTTTGGTGCTGTTTATATGCTGGATTATGTTTATTGATTTGCGTATGTTGAACCAGCCTCACATCCCAGGGATGAAGCCCACTTGATCATGGTGGATAAGCTTTTTGATGTGCTGCTGGATTCGGTTTGCCAGTATTTTATTGAGGATTTTTGCATCGATGTTCATCAAGGATATTGGTCTAAAATTCTCTTTTTTTGTTGTGTCTCTGCCAGGCTTTGGTATCAGGATGATGCTGGCCTCATAAAATGAGTTAGAGAGGATTCCCTCTCTTTTTATTGATTGGAATAGTTTCAGAAGGACTGGTACAGCTCCCCTTTGTACCTCTGGTAGATTTTGGTTGTTAATCCATCTGGTCCTGGACTTTTTTTGGTTGGTAGGCTCTTAATTATTGCCTCAATTTCAGAGCCTGTTATTGGTCTATTCAGGGATTCAACTTCTAGTCTTGGGAGGGTGTATGTGTCCAGGAATTTATGCATTTCTTCTAGATTTTCTAGTTATTTGCGTGGAGTTGTTTATAGTATTCTCTGATGGTAGTTTGTATTTCTGTGGGATCAGTGGTGATATCCTCTTCATCATTTTTTATTGTGTCTATTTGATTCTTCTGTTTTCTTCTGTATTAGTCTTTCTAGCGGTCTATCAATTTTGTTGATGTTTTCAAAAAACCAGCTCCTGGATTCATTGATTTTTTTGAAGGGTTTTTTGTGTCTCTATCTCCTTCAGTTCTGTTCTGATCTTAGTTATTTCTTGCCTTCTGCTAGCTTTTGAATGTGCTTGCTCTTGCTTCTTTACTTCTTTTAATTGTGATGTTAGGGTGTCAATTTTAGATCTTTCCTGCTTTCTCTTGTGGGCATTTAGTGCTATAAATTTCCCTCTACACACTGCTTTAAATGTGTCCCAGAGATTCTGGTATGTTGTGTCTTTGTTCTCATTGGTTTCAAAGAACAGCTTTCTGCCTTCATTTCGTTGTGCACCCAGTAGTCATTCAGGAGCAGGTTGTTCAGTTTCCATATAGTTGAGTGGTTTTGAGTGAGTTTCTTAATCCTGAGTTCTAGTTTGATTGCACTGTGGTCTGAGAGACAGTTTGTTACAATTTCTGTTCTTTTACATTTGCTGAGGAATGCTTTACTTCCACCTATGTGGTCAATTTTGGAATAAGTGCGATGTGGTGCTGAGAAGAATGTATATTCTGTTGATTTGGGGTGGAGAGTTCTGTAGATATCTATTAGGTCTGCTTGGTGCAGAGCTGAGTTCAAGTCCTGGATATCCTTGTTAACCTTCTGTCTCGTTGATCTGTCTAATGTTGACAGTGGGGTGTTAAAGTCTCCCATTATTATTGTGAGGGAGTCTAAGTCTCTTTGTAGGTCTCTAAGGACTTGCTTTATGAATCTGGGTGCTCCTGTATTGGGTGCATATATATTTGGGATAGTTAGCTCTTCTTGTTGAATTGATCCCTTTACCATTATGTAGTGGCCTTCTTTGTCTCTTTTGATCTTTGTTGGTTTAAAGTCTGTTTTATCAGAGACTAGGATTGCAACCCCTGCTTTTTTTTGTTTTCCGTTTGCTTAGTAGATCTTCCTCCATCCCTTTATTTTGAGCCTATGTGTGTCTCTGCATGTGAGATGGGTCTCCTGAATACAGCACACTGATGGGTCTTGACTCTATCCAGTTTGCCAGTCTGTGTCTTTTAATTGGAACATTTAGCCCATTTACATTTAAGGTTAATATTGTTATGTGTGAATTTGATCCTGTCATTATGATGTTAGCTGGTTATTTTGCTCGTTAGTTGATGCATTTCTTCCTAGCATCGATGGTCTTTACAATTTGGCATGTTTTTGCAGTGGCTGGTACCATAGGTTGTTCCTTTCCATGTTTAATGCTTCCTTCAGGAGCTCTTGTAAGGCAGGCCTGGTGGTGACAAAATCTCTCAGCATTTGCTTCTCTGTAAAGGATTTTATTTCTCCTTCACTTATGAAGCTTAGTTTGGCTGGATATGAAATTCTGGGTTGAAAATTCTTTTCTTTTAGAATTTTGAATATTGGCCCCCACTCTCTTCTGGCTTGTAGGGTTTCTGCCCAGAGATCCACTGTTAGTCTGATGGGCTTCCCTTTGTGGGTAACCCGACCTTTCTCTCTGGCTGCCCTTAACATTTTTTCCTTCATTTCAGCTTTGGTGAGTCTGACAATTATGTGTCTTGGAGTTGCTGTTCTCAAGGAGTATCTTTGTGGCATTCTCTGTATTTCCTGAGTTTGAATGTTGGCCTGCCTTGCTAGGCTGGGGAAGTTCTCCTGGATAAAATCCTGAAGAGTGTTTTCCAACTTGGTTCCATTCTCCCCATCACTTTGAGGTACACCAATCAGATGTAGATTTGGTCTTTTCACATAGTCCCATATTTCTTGGAGGCTTTGTTCGTTTCTTTTTACTCTTTTTTCTCTAAACTTCTCTTCTGGCTTCATTTCATTCATTTCATCCTCGATCACTGATACCCTTTCTTCCACTTGATCAAATCAGCTACTGAACCTGGTGCATTTGTCACGTAGTTTTCGTGCCGTGGTTTTCAGCTCCATCAGGTCATTTAAGGTGTTCTCTACACTATTTATTCAGTTAGTCATTCATCTAACCTTGTTTCAAGGTTTTTAGCTTCTTTGCGATGGGTTCAAACATCCTCCTTTAGCTCAGAGAAGTTTGTTATTACCAATCGTCTGAAGCCTTCTTCTCTCAAGTCGTCAAAGTCATTCTCCATCCAGCTTTGTTCTGTTGCTGGCAAGTAGCTGCGTTCCTTTAGAGGAGAAGAGGTGCTCTAATTTTTAGAATTTTTCGATTTTCTGCTCTGGTTTCTCCCCATCTTTGTGGTTTTATCTACCTGTAGTCTTTGATGATGGTGACGTACAGATGGGGTTTTGTTGTGGATGTCCTTTCTGTTTGTTAGTTCTCCTTCTAACAGTCAGGACCCTCAGCTGCAGGTCTGTTGGAATTTGCTGGAGGTCCACTCCAGTCCCTGTTTGCCTGGGTATCACCAGTGGAGGCTGCAGAATGGCAAATGTTGCTGCCTGATCCTTCCTTTGGAAGCTTCATCTCAGAGGGGCACCTGGCTGTATGAGGTGTCGGTCAGCCCCCTATTGGGAGTTCTCTACCAGTTAGGCTGCTCAGGGGTCAGAGACCCACTTGAGGAGGCAGTCTGTCCATTCTCAGATCTCAAACGCCGTTGTGGGAGAACCACTACTCTCTTCAAAGCTGTCAGACAGGGACACTTAAGTCTGCTTGTTTCTGCTGCCTTTTGTTCAGCTATGCCCTGCCCCCAGAGGTGGAGTCTACAGAGGCAGGCAGGCCTCCTTGAGCTGCAGTGGGCTCTACCCAGTTCGAGCTTCCCAGCTGCTTTGTTTGCCACTCAAGCCTCAGCAAGTGGATGCCCTCCCCCAGCCTTGCTGCCACCTTGCAATTCGATCTCTGACTGCTGTGCTTGCTAGCAGTGAGCGAGGCTCTGTGGGCATGGGACCCTCTGAGCCAGGCACGGGATATTATCTCCTGGTGTGCCATTTGCTAAGACCGTTGGAAAAGCGCAGTATTAGGGTGCAAGTGTCCCGATTTTCCAGGTACCATCTGTCATGTCTTCCCTTGGCTAGGAAAGGGAATTCCCTGACCCCTTGTGCTCCCTGGGTGAGGCAATGCCCCACCCTGCTTCAGCTCACACTCCGTGAGCTGCACCCACTGTCCGACAAGCCCCAGTGAGATGAACCTGGTACCTCAGTTGGAAATGCAGAAATCACCCGTCTTCTATTGCTCACGCTGGGAGCTGTAGACTGGAGCTGTTCCTATTCAGCCATCCCCTCCTCTCCCATCTTATCTGTCCAAAAGCTCTTTAGTTTAATTATTAATAGATCCCACTTCTCATTCTTGTTGCAATTGCTTTTGAGGGCTTAGTCATTAATTCTTTGCCAAGACCGATGTCCAGGATGGTGTTTCCTAGGCATTTTTCTAGGAGTCTTAGAGTTTGGGGTCTTGTGTTTAAATCTTTAATCTGAGTTTTTTTTTGTATATGGTAAAAGGTAGGTATCCAATTTCATTCTTCTGTATATGGCTAGTGAGCTATCCCAACACCATTTATTGAATAGGGAGATCTTTCCCCTTTGCCTATTTTTTTTTTTTTTTTTACTTTGTCAAAGATCAGATGGCTATAGGTGTGCAGCTTTATTTCTGGGTTCTCTATTCTGTTCCATTGATCGGTATGTCTGTTTCAGTATCATTACCATACTGTTTTGGTTACTATAGCCTTATAGTATAGTTTGAAGTCAGGTAATATGATGCCTCCAGCTTTGTTCTTTTTGCTTAGGATTGCTTTAGCTATCTGGGCTCCTTTTTGGTTATATACTAATTTTAGAATAGTTTTTTTTTAAATTCTGAGGACCACAGATTATTTTTGATGGCTTTGAATACCTTGCAGGATGAGACCAGAGGAAGTACATGTGGCAGAATCAGCACCCAGAGTTATTTAAAATAGATTTATAAGCCTACCTCTGTGGGATAACATCAGCCCCAGTTTAATATAAGTTGATGTAAGGTTAAGAAGAGAAGAATAAATCTCTAATGTCCTTGCAAGGTAGACTCATGCTTAGTGTTTTGAGAATGTACTCAGGACTTCAGAATTGGCTGTAGGCTAGACTCCCTTATACAGCAGCTTGAGATTATCTCCCTGAAGAATTTTAACAGTTGCTAAGGTGACTGCTAGAAGCATTGGCCACTTTCTTAGGGATTCTACATTGCTTTTTAGAGCCTTAAGGACAGGCAGAGGGGAACTAACAGATATTGTATGCTATCACGGTCTCATTTAATTGTAACACTGATCCTCTGAGAAAATTCACTAAACAGATGACAAACCGAATCTCAGAGAGATAAAGGAATATGTGCCAATATTCATACATGTTGTAAGTGGCAAGATCAGGACTCTTTCTACAATTCCACATAGCATCTCAAAGCCATCCCCATCACCCCTACACATATTAAATACATAGTACCCATCAGCCCCACCCCCACCCTCAGTCTGAAAAGGAAACTTAAGGCAATCAAAATGGATCGACTCAGTGAACACATGCTGCCTTCTTTCTTTTTATTCATTTTCAACTCTATTTATTAAGCACCTACATTATGCCAGGCACAGCTCTTGGTGCTGAGGATACAGGGTGAACAAATCAGATGAGATCCCTTCTGTGGTGGAATTTAACTCTAGTGGGAAGAGCTAGACAAAAAAACTAATAAACCACTAAATGAAGAAAATAATTTTTGATAGTCATGTGAGAAAGCAAGTGAAACAGTGATTTGGTAGAAAGGGACTGGGGAGAAGAAGCTACTATAGCTACAATGTGGAAAGTGTTCAAAGGGCCAAGGAGGTCACTTTTGAGCTGAAACCTGACAGAACAAAGGAGCCATCCAAGCAAAAATGAACATGGGGAATGTTATAGGCAAAGGAGCAGGGAGTTCAGACCCCATCAGACCACTTCACGTTTTAGCCTTTTTTTTTAATGTAATGTGCATAACAGTGAAGCATGTTTCTGATTTATAATCTGAATGATATGGTATTATTCGGCATTATTATTTTTCTAGGTATTTTGGCAGCGGGGCTAGTAATCTTACTTCAAGAAGGCTGTGATCTGCACAAGTCCCAGAGACAAGCTGGCTTTGTAGGAGGAGAGAGAACATGCGAGTTTACATTTGTTTGCTGAGAGAACCACATACTTTAGGCTCAGCCTGAGGAGCGACTCACTGTATTCAGGGATGGTCAGGATCCAGATATGCCAGAGTCAGTGGGAAGCCTCCAGATCCCTAGTCACACAGATAGAACTTAGGCACCTCGGAAGCAAGCTGCTGGATTATGTGAACATTTGTTTTAGTGCCAAATGGGACTTTTCCCAAGATGTCTTTGGTTATCATGAAGAGTAAATTCTAAAACAAGGAAGGAAATAAAGTTATTTTTGTGTAGATAAGAATAGACTAAATATGTGGCATAGAATAATTGAGAGAGCCAGGAGTAGGAGAATGTTATGACCTCGAACATGGATCAAGTGGAATAACTTTTAAAATGATAAAAGTCACTGCCTAGACCTATGCTTTTCCAACCTAGAACCTCTGAAAGCAGTAACGGGAACTAGAAAGCTGTTTGTAGTGTTTTAAAGATAAAAGTGAATGATAAGGCCACATAGGCTATCCTTTACTTCATGCCCTTTCAGATCATTCTTTCATCTTTCAGTATTTCAACAAATCGTTAATGAGTTATCTACTGTGTACCAGGTGCCATGCCAAGTGCTAAGAAATTGTATAAATGGCTCAAGTAAGGATCCTTGCTGTTGATACATTTTAACCATCTAATGTGGCAAAGAGACAAGTAAATGGATAATTTTAAAACAATATTACATGTACTGATAGAGGGGTTTATGGAGTACTTTGTGAAGTCCAGCGGGTGGGGGGAATCCTAATCCAGCTGGGGTAGGATCTTGGAAAACTTCCTAGAGGAGACATTGCTAAATCTCAGTCTTAAAGGACATATATAAATTAGCCAGTTGGATCCAAGGGAATGAAATTCTTGGCAGAGGAAAGATCCTATACTTATGTATAGGGCTTTTAATTCTCCAGAGTACTTACTCATTGTATTAGTTAGAATTGTGTTCTGTTTTGAGGAACAGAAAACTCTGGTATCAGTAGAATAAGTAAATAAAGGTATGTTTGTTTCACAGAATAAATTTGGAGATGAGTGACATCTGGCTTTGGTTTAGTGGCTAATGATGTCAGGACTGCCATGTGTCTCTGAGATTCCCTGGACATTTCCTTCATGCTTGTTGCCTTATGATTGAAAAAGAGCTGCAGCTTTGGGTATTATACCCATGTTCAATCATGAGGGAGGGGTCAGAAGAAGCACCATGTCTCTATTAATCAGGAAAGTAAACACTTTCCCAAGGAGCACCCCACCACCACCACCAAACCAGAAGACTTATCCTTCTGTGTCATATGCTCAAGTAAAGCTACATGCCACTCCTAACTGCAGTGTAGGCTAGATACACAAATACTTAACTCTTCTCCGGAGTAGAAGTTAGCAAGGAGAGTGAGTTGGGAATGCCTAAGTCAGCCAATCAGTAGTATCTGCCAAATATATAATTTCATTTGCCTCCTTATAATAAGTTTGTGAGGTAGAAAGAGTGGGTGTTATTAGCTCCACTTTACAGAAGAAGGAACATTTGGAGAGCCAGGTGATACCTAAAATCACAAAGCTGAACATTTATTCACTGATAACAAAAACAAAAGCTCATATTGGTTGTAGGTATGCTTGTTACACACCAGACTCTATGCTAAGTGCTTTACATATGTTCTCTCATTTCCTTCCCATGCAGTCCTGTAAGGTAGGCTGTCCTCATTTTATAGAGGTATCTGAGTAACACATCTGAGGTATAAGGAGATATTGACATAAGTTCCCCAGGATCACAAAGCTAGTATATAGCAGAGCCCTCAGGATTCAAACTTCATTTCTCCAGAATGTCAGCCTGATGCTCTTCTTGCCTCACCTCCCTTTGATTTAAATGATCAAAATGTTCTCCCTGTAGATCCAGCGAATGTACCACCTCACTGATGTTGCCCAGAGCCCTTGAAGCCACTCTATACCCCTGTTACTTCTTTTAATTTATGTGACCCACTCCTGTTTCTTCATTATTGCTTTTATGGACATAGAATCCAGCAACACATTATTTCAAATGTGCTGCCATTATGAATACATTTTCTTTCATTGTAATAGCACCAACCATAATGAATACATTTTGTATCCATGCAGATGTCACTGGTATTTTCAGTGCTTCATTCTAATTTATGCTGGAAAATGAATACTTAAAGTATTGCCCAGGCTCCCATTACTCCAGAGGAAATTAGGGACGCCTTGTGTGTGTGCATATGTTTTTGTGTTCATGTAGCAGATAGAATGTTTTGGTCAGAATGAATTGTGTGCGTGAAATGAGAGCCTAGCCCCTTCCTGGAAGGGCACTTTGGAGGTAATTCACTATGCCTATCAGTGAACCTGTGCAAGCAGGTTTCTTTGTGAGTGGGTGTTTGGGGCACAAATTATAGTCAGATTTTGTTAGAAGTGAAAGAGGGAAAGCCCTACTGATTGAGGGATACACGTTTTGGGGTGCCCCAAGGTCTTCTGGCCATCTTATATACAGCCAGCAAAGGTTGCAGATGTACTTGGTGGCAGCAGTCACCCCATCTATCAGCCTCACACTGACGTGGCCTTCAATGTTGAGGGTGAACAGTGAGACAGAGGCCTACTGGGGAGCAGAATGTGCTAGGCTTGTGGTTAATTATGTGAACTCACCTTTATGGCAAGTGTTGGTTCATGACGTAGAAGATAATAGTCAAAGACTCTGAAACTATGGATAAGGGCAGGAGTACTCAGCTATCCAAGAAATGACCTCTCTTATGTTTGAAACAATATGTAGGCCAGAATGCTCCAGACATTCAGCCTGTCTGTAGGGGATTCTCGAAGTGATATACTTTCAGATACATCTGTGCCAAAAATACTATTTCTGAGGCTTGAGATCTGAGCAGCTAAAGGGTAAGATAACTTGTAAGATCCATTATTACGAATTTTTATTCAAGGGTTCTGTGTATTAAAAGAAGGAGAAGTGGTGGTTTTACAGAATATAAGAGTATTCTAAGTTTCTTTAAAATACTACATTTTTATACCATACCTATTTAAATCTTTTAAATATTCAGAAGTTGCCTCTTAATAAAAATTGTCTACTTCTTTTAGGATTACTGACTCCATAATTTCAAGGCAAATCAAAGAAGGAATAGTGATTGCAAACTGAATTTAGAATGGGTGTGTATTTATGTATGTATATATGTATATGTATGTGTGTATACACACATATACAACATGCATATATAGATTAAGGGGTTTGGAAATGTTTATTTTGCCTCTAACACAAAAGGGCAAGAACCATTCTAAAACTTGGCTTGGGGAGAAGCAAAATTTCTCTCTATATCTTTAAGTGATCTTAAATTTTGCCAGGTTTTTATTGCTGAAAATCTAGGAACAAAAAACTAGGTTGTAGAATTTCAGTATCTTTTATTTTCTGTTTCATAATGAGTACTTTTCCCTCTTGCAGTCTCTCAAGCCTTAATTTTTACATGGTGCATCACCTGACTCTTATGTCAATACCTGAAAGACAGATTTGAAAGAACTAGTTATCTCAAATCTATCTAGAAATAGAGCCTAGATAAGACCAGTGCAATAACCTTAAAGAAGGTATTGTTCTTTGCTTCTTTCACCCCAAAAAGCTACAAATACTTGTCCTGTACTGACTGAAATGTTTACTATTTTACAGGAAATTCTATAGAACCAAGTATACTGCTTGAGGGGATTAATTAAAACACAAATGAATTTAGCTCTGAATTGAATCTGACTTCCATATTCTCCATTTTTGCAGATTCAAATAGCAGTAATGTTTGCTGTATCACCTAAAAGAAAACAGCAAGCGGCAAAAACCTTCAGAGCTCTGCTTGTCTGAGGAGATGGCCCCACTGTTGACCATTTCCTCAGGGGTGGTGATTCAAAGCACATTTTATATTTGCCCTGGGGCAAGAATAGCCTTGCTTCAACCTAGAAGCCTTTTTGAAAGGGGTGCAGAAAGAAGAATGGATAGAAGGTGCCTTCTGCAGCGTTGCCTTCAGGTTTCTGTGGACAGAGCACAAAAGACAGATGCAGTTTACCATCAGAGCAGCTTTGAGTCAGAATTGTAGGAGGCTAAAACCTGAGAAGAACCTCTGGGTCTCTGCACCCCTATTCGGGTAAGAGTTCAGTCTTTATGGTGGACAGCAGGAGTGGCAACACAGTATCAGCCTGATTCTCCTTCAGTTTGCTACTTTCAGCTCAGTTAAGCTGGCAGGCAAGCCTGGGAACCAGCCTGAATCCCTCCCTAGGAGCTGCCCATCTTAAGAGAGTTCCTCTAGCAAATGTGCCTTCAGGGGCCTATATAACTGAAGCAAAGCCATTTGCATCAATTCATCCTACACATGTCTTTTGCCTCCTAAAACGTTCAAGGTTCCCTGCCATATGCATATACTGGATAGTAAAGGTTTCTAGTCTCTCAATTGCTGTGCTTATAAGTCTGCTCTAAGATGATTGAAACCCATGAGAGAGAACCAGCCCCAAAGAGAATGTGGCACTTTATTTCCTTAACCTGAGTCATCTGTGCTTTCACTGCCATTCTTTTGTTGTGGTTGTTTTTAGCCATGAAACGAACTCAAGATTTTTTAAAAATGTTTTCAACCATAAATAGCTCCTACTGAATGAGAATAAGTTAATACCAAACTTAGGTATTTTCCAAAACTTTTAATTTGAAATAAAACAAGTTACAACTATTATTTATAAAATATTACCCTTGTGCCCATTGTAATATTAAGAACTTTAAAAAGGGTTTCTCTTTAGTCTTTAGTAGCATTCACATCTACTCTATTACATAGGTCTTACTGGATGCATTTTACAAATGAGAAAACTAAAACTCAGGAAAATGACTTTCCCAAAGTTACATCATCTGCTTATCTCAGTTCCCAGTCCTTTCCTTTTAGATGGTTATTGACAACTAGAAGACTGAAGAAAGATTCCATCAAAGACTCCATTGGCTCACTTAAGATAAATAGGTTGACTCTTCTTTTAACCAGGTGGACAGGAAAAGCCACCACACAATGCACACCACTTACACTACTACCACCTCATTAACCCAGGAGTAACAGCTACTGAGGCCTGGCAAGATTCACAGTCCCACCCAGCCTTCTTTTTAGTGGGAAGAACATGAGTTTTGCAGCCAGTCACTCCTGAGATCCAAATGTGGTCAAGTCACTGACCCCTCTGAACCTCATTTTCCACATCTGTAAAACAGAGAATCATAATGCCTTCTTCACAGAGATGCAGCCCTAATTGGACAAGAGATTATAATGATACCTATTATAATGCATACTCATTGAATAAATTTTTTAAAAAACACAGTAATTTTCTCGGTGTTAGCGAAAGGTTTCCCAGGCACCATGAAGTGTTTTGGCTGCAGCAGGAGAGTGGTTGGCAGATACAGTGTTCTTCAGTTTCCATTTTTCAGGCTCATCCTTTAGAACCAACTTTGCTTTTTATGTCATGTTTTTCCCTCCAAGGTAGGAGGTGGGCTGACGCTTTCCCTTCTGCCCTCCCCATCCTATAGCTCTCTGTAAGTATTCTTTCGCCTCCCTTTTGTGATTTCCTTAAGTGCTTTTAATGGTTGCTTGACACTAGAAAGATATTCCCAGCAGGCACTCAGTTTGTAATCACTGCTTGTTGCTTGATGTGAACTTGTGGCTGACCTCTGGGAAAGCGGTGTGGGCGGGCATGGGGACGAGAGGAGGGAGCAAGGCTCTGCTCCAGCAAAGCGAGATGGTGCATCCCTGAGCAGCTGGCTGGCAACTGAAGGGGTGGCTCTGAAGATTGCTGTCACGCCTCCTTGCCACCTTGGGTCAGCCAGCGTGTCTGGAAGTATAATCAGTAGTGGGTTATGGTATGGTTAAACAACCATATTCTTAAACACCAGCAAAGCACAAAAGAAAAACAGGATGATAGAGCAGCTACAGTACATTTCCACAGTGTCTCTGTTATTACCACAAGGCGAATGGAATGCCCTGAGGAGCAGCATGCATACAGCTGGAACTAATCATCCCTTATTCCACAGCCTGTGACCTGGGGGCCTAGAATGTCCCCCACTTTTTTTTTAATCCTGTAATTCTGACTGTCTTCACCAAGGAGGTGATTGAGGTATTGCAAATGGAAGAAAAATACAAATTCTTTGTATCTTCCTTTTACAAATCTTCTTAGACACATGGCTGCTAATCAGGGCTGTAAGTGATTAATCTGGATACTTGCCTTCAAGCAGCAGTTCCCTGTCTAGAGGAGGAAAAGCCAAGTGTCTGTACCCAGTTAGTATCACAAGAGACACCTGTGGTAGTGAGTGTCAATGTCAGGGAAATGGATTTCATGTTAAATGCCTTGTGCCCAATCTTTTGTGACCCGCCTGAACCTTATGGGCATATCCCCAAACCACACTGTGAGCTAGGACTTCATAATGAGGCATTCAGTGTCTACCACTGTTCACAGCCTCACTTCCTAGCCTTTGTAATGAATTACCCTGTTTATGGACATGGCTCACTTTCCAGGCTGCCACTCCCCCCTTCCTCACCAGCTTTGATGCCAGCCTATGGCAGTTGTTCATGCTTATTCCCTTGATTAGGCTACTTCTAACTCACCTGGTCTTACCAGCCCTTGGGATCCTGCATTTCTACTGCTCCCCCATGAACAGTAGAGCCACCAAGTTCCCCTTGGTCCTACAAGCAGGACCCCAAATTCTCTGAGCCGGAGGGTGGATGATGAGTAGTCTCTGTAGGATGGAGTGGTCAGCACAGACTTCATGGAAGACGTAGACTTAGGCTGCTTATGATTTGGGTGGGGAAAGAGAAAGGATATGGCTATTCTACCCTGGAGCAAAAGAGATCTTTGTTATGACTTGTTAACAGCCATTTAAACCATGATTGTGAAGGAGGAGTTTAGAACTGGAGCTGCCACAGAGATTCAAGGATTATCTGTGGATTTTGGTGTTGTACTGTTCTTTACCAAAGGGAGGGGTAGGGGACATAAGGGGTTGTTGGAACAAAAGAAAGAAAATAAAGCCTCTAGTATGGCGTTATATCAGATTCATGGAGTCCTTCTATTCTCTTCCTCCAGACAATTTTTATATTCCTGTGTTGGGCCTCATTTGAGAGTCTGGTTTTGGCCTCTAACAAGAATGCCCCTTGCAGCCATGTTGTGACCATTCATGCCAATTAAAATGAATAAGAACTAAGTGATCGTCTTGCCTTTCACACAAACCAGTGGTTCTCAGCGTTGGTTGCTGGACCCCTACAGTTAATGGCTCTATTTCCAAAGCCTGGTCTTTCCATCCTCTTCAGTGGGCAAAAAGAGGCATGTGATTAGCCACCAGAGGCCTTAGTCCCACCAGGGCTCTGAGCTGTATCAGAAATCAGACTAAGGAGAGGTGGCTGGAGAAGCAGTTTGGGAAGGACATAAGCTTTCTCTTTACAGCTGAACATAAACTAAGTTGTTCCACAGGCTTTGCTTAAACTTTTACAGACAGAATTATCACTCTTCTTTTTAACTCCTTTTTTCTTTCTTGTGTATATTTCAGCCTGAGGCCCTAAAAATAGTTTTTTTATAGAGGAGTATCTTTATTGTCTCACAGCAAATATTTTTTAATTTGAAAACAACTCTCAAAAGAATTCTCTCATCTTTTCCCCAAAGTGGTTGACTGAAAAATATTTATTTTATTGTCATTCCCCTCCTCCTACCTGTCTCTGCTGGGCTGAGTGAAGATTGCAGTGGAATGTTTTAAGTAGTGAGTGGGTGAGTGGCTAGGGAAAGTAAAAGACCTATGCACCTCATGCTAACTTCTCATGTTAGGGTAGAAGAGCCATCTGATATATTTATTGTTCTATATTAAACTTGAGTCTGATTGGGACTGAGAATGTGAGAGCCTTAGAAATCATCTAATCCAAGGAGGAAGAAGGGGACACAGCAATATGTCATGAAAGTTTAGTATGTGTAGGGTAGTGCTTCATACAGCGTTTAATGAGAAAAGTGATCACTTAATAGTTTACCATGTGCTATATGTTTTTACATTCATTAAGCACCTGGGAATCATTGATCCTCTTTCACAAGTGAGGAAACTGGGACCCAGTGGAATAAGTTTTGCCCAGAGGGTACTCAGTTAATAAGTAGAAGAACTGGATTCAGCCTTGATTTCTCTGGCTGTGCACTCCTGCTCCTCTTAGCCTAAAAGGCAAGGTTGAGAGTTCTGACAGCAGGGAACCTTGTCATCCAAATTACTGACAGTTGCCCCTCAGTTAAGCCGTCTTAGAGGGCGACCGGGCCTTACTCAGTTCTAAGAGGCATATTCCCCTGGTGCTCCTTAGGGTATTTACACTGTTCCTTCTGCCTGGGCCCTGCAATTGGGCCAATGGTGAGCAAGTGCTTTCCAGGTATCGTAAATACATCTTATGACACTTGATTTCTATTGAAATCAATCGTAAATACGATAGATTTCTATTGAAATCTATCGTGAATACATCTTATGACACTTGATTTCTAAGCCATAAACAGGTTCTTCTTCATATAGATGAAACAGGTTTGAAGTTGTAGAATTATGTCATTTGGGTGCCACAGAAGAGCCGGCTTCTGGAAAAACTGGGAGGAGGGCAAAATGTGTCTTTAATAATCCTTATTTGCTTCTTTCAGTGCCCGGTACTTATGCCCTAGTCCTGACCCTTTAAAGATTATCATTTCTCTTCCCCCCAGCAAAATTTAACCTCATCGTAAGATGACAGCTGGCTCATCCAGAAACTCTTCTGCACTCAAGTGGTTTATGGTGTGGTCCCATGGCATACTCTTGTCTTGTAATACATACTGATTTTTAACTAGGGGCTGAACTGTAAGGAACCTTCTAAGTGCAACACCTTAGACTACAGGAACAATTTTAATAGGGACTTTAGGCTTAATGGCTTATGGGAGATCTTTTGAAAGTGGCAAAGGCCTTGCTGTTTTTCACATGCTCTCATGTTTGGCATCTGTTACCTCCTCCAGTACATAGAGCAGTCCTTTGAATTCAAAGCACTGGACTTTGTTCAATCTTGAGATTGGGTAGTGACATATAAAGGATGGAAAGCTGCAGTCTTCAGTTCCTCTCTTGTCTCTGCTTCAGCTCTATTTGATGTTTTTATGTGTTTTGGGTCATCTAATGGTGACCAGACTAGTGCTGTCTCTCATCTGACAGCACTGAACTGCAGTACAAGGAGAGCCTCTGGTAAGATTGGCTGAAAGTAAATTGATGTGGTGTTCATCTCTTTGCTGTCTACATCAAGCAACCCTCCTCCCAGGAGGGGCAGATTTCATATAGTTCAGACCTGTTGACTGTATCATGAGCTTTTGGAATATTGAGGTTGGAATGCAGGTGGGGATAGCTTTCTTACCTTCTTTTCCGTTTCCTAGGGAAACTCATAACAAGAACACTTACTAAAAGGGCAGGGGTAGAACTGGGTAGTAGTAAACAGGGAAGGAACAAGGCAGTAGGAGAACAGGGACCCTCTATTCCCTTTCATAAACGTCCACTTCTCAGTTATACTCATCTGAGAAGACATGCTGGCAGAGATGCTTGAGTTATTAACTAGGCATAAGACACCTCATAGTTTCTTGTTTTTTCCATTTCAGAGCCCTCCCACTGTCCCTGGCCCAGACTTTAGACTCCTGGACAAGTGAGTCTGGCTTTGACAAAGAGGGAGCCCTAGCCTCTGCTTGGGAGCAAGTGTCCATTTGCTCCAGACCCCCAGCATCATGACATTGGCACCTGTAATACTCTTCCAAGCTGAGTTGTAGATCTGTGCTGACGATGTAATCACATTTGAGCATCCTAATGCCTGCTGGCCCCCATGTAGGCTTTATATTGAGTTACCACTGGGTGTTTGTTTTTCTTTTTTTCCTGAAACATCTGCTTGTGCTGCCTCAGGGAGTGTCACACAGAACACAGCCTGTATATTTTAAGCATAGCCCTTGTTCACATTTTGAAGTGCTGGCAATGTGGTAGATGCCATATGGAGCCCTGACACCCTTCTCACCTCCTGTTCTTTCCCATCTACACCCCCCGCCCTGACATTTTCTTAGGAGACACTTCAAGCATGACCCATAAAGATAAGCATTAGGAGCTGCTGATGAGACACGTTCTCTCACTGGACCATCGCACATTTTATCTCAGCCATTCTGAACTTTTCACAGCTCCTTGAACATGCCAAGCTGTTTCACATCTTCAAGAGTTTGTTCAAGCTGTTCCCTCCACCTGGCATACCCCCCGCTCCTTGCCCCGTTGTCTTCCTAGAAAATACCAATCCATCTGTCAACACTCAGTGATAAAGTCTTCTCTGACTCTGTAGGTGGAATTTAGCACTTCTTCTCTTATGGCTCATAGCTACATTCTTTGCTATACTGTGAGCTCCTGAATGGTAGAGATATCTGATACACCACTGTGTTCCATCACTGGCATGTATTTGGGGCTCAGTCACTGTGAGGTGAAAGAATAGCCACTGACTTCAGGAGGGGAGTGATACAAAAACAGTTGAATTTAGTTGAGTACTCATTAGGCAGCAGGCTGAACACATTATATCCATTATCTCATTTAATATTTGCATCAACTCTTAAGAGGTAGATCTTAATACCATCCCTTCCTGAGGAGTTGCCCCTACACACACACACACACACACACACACACACACACACACACTCTCTCTCATCATTCTCTATTCCAGCATCCTGGTTTATTTTCTTCATATCCACTATCTGAAATTATTTACGTGTTTGTTGTCAACTTACTGGAAATTAAGCTCCATGAAAACAAGGACTTTGTCAGTCGTTTTCACTGCTATTTTACCTATTTGAGTGCCTTATATACTGTGGGTACTCAATAAATACTTGTTCACTGAAAGCACAAATGAAGGAATGACTCCCCATTTCACAGATGAGGAAACTGAGGCCTAGATGTTAAATAGCTTTGCCAAAGTTACACAGCTCAGAGCTGAAGGGCTTGGATGGTAAGTAATCCTGGTCTCATTCCAAAGTGGATGATCCTAACATATTATACTACCTCCTGTAGGAATTCTTCAAGTAGACAGATCTTAGTGCTCGTAGAGAAAGGTATGCTTTCCTGCTGGATGTAGTTTTTACCTTGAAGGTTTACCTTCCCTGCCTCTTATCTCACCAGTGAAATCCCTCCTTCTGGGCCAAAGCAAGTTATGAGAGCTGCCATATGCCAGCTGCCAAATGTCTTCAGTGCCAGGCATGTTGCCAAACTAGGGGTAAAATAGTGAATGAGAAACAAATGCAGCCTCCAAAGAGCTCAAGTGACAAAGACTGACTTTTACAACATAACGGTGCTGAGGTGCACTGAAGCCCTGAACCTCTGGAGGCTGCAAGGATAGAGCAGTGATGTGTCAGACCACCTGCATCACTGGTTCCCTGATGGCACTTAATTCAAATTTCATCCTTTGGTAGGGTCTAGTGAAAATCAGCTCAAACCTTGAAAGATATTTCTATGTAACCTAATTAAATGAGTGAGACCTTGGTGCCTCTCACTGCAGGACAGGCAGGATTGAAAATGAAACCAATATCTGACCCAACGAGATTCTGTCCTAAGTTCAGGGGAACAGGTTTTGGTGGCAGGCCCTTTTACATGACTGTTTGCTGGAGCCCACAAGAACCAAGATGAGAATCTGAGGGAAATGGCCACTTTGCAGCCAGGTTACAACAGGAGAGTCATGACCGGCTGCAGTTATAAAAACTGAAAAAAAAAAAAAGAAATCTAGCTGTGCGGCTTCTTTTTTAAAAAACAAACAACAAATAAAAAGACACTATTGGGGCCAGGCATAATGGCTCACACGTGTAATCCCAGCACTTTGGGAGGCTGGGGCAGCCGGATCACCTGAGGTCAGGAGTTCGAGACCAGCCTGGCCAACATGGTGAAAACCCGTCGCTACTAAAAATACAAAAATTAGCCTGGCATGGTGGTGTGTGCCTGTAATCCCAGCTACTCAGGAGGCTGAGGCAGGAGAGTCGCTTGAACCCAAGAGGCGG
Source organism: Homo sapiens (assembly GCF_000001405.40). Lineage (NCBI taxonomy): Eukaryota > Metazoa > Chordata > Mammalia > Primates > Hominidae > Homo > Homo sapiens. The sequence goes on from NC_000011.10 coordinate 35,793,459, forward strand.
AGGTTGCAGTGAGCCAAGATTACGCCACTGCACTCCAGCCTGTGCGACAGAGTGAGACTCTGTCTCAAAAATAAATAAATAAACTAAGAGACTATTGGGATCCCCTGTAACGAGGAGAAAGTTTTCGAGTAATTGGTGCCCAGACTGGAGTTTGAGTCTGCCAAGGCCTTGGAACATCTTTAGCAACAAGGTACCAGTTACCTCCTCTGCTACTAGTAATGAGGCATTACCAATAACCCAGCTGAATAAATGCAGCCAGCTGATGTCACAAGCCCCCTCATGTGCTCCCTTCACTCCTCATTGCCCGGGGCCAAAAACAAGAGCCAGGCCATGGTAGTTTCAGCGCTGCCTAGGATTGTGGGACCTTGGGATGTTACTTCCTTTGTCTACTCTGTATTTTCTTCGTCTGTAAAATGGAGTGTTAATGCTGTTACACAGGGTTATTATGAAAACTGTAAAGATTTGGATGAAGTGATTAATTAGTTCAGTGTCTAGCAAGTAATAACTTCCATTTATTAATTGTAAGTGCTTATAATGTATAATTATCCTCATTTTACAGATATGGAAACTTTAAAGAGGCATCTCACCCAAGGTTGTACTGCTAATGCATGCTGGAATGGGGTCTCAAAACTTAGTTGTGTGCTTTTTCCATGATCAGTCTCAACCACCACAATAACTAACCCAGCTCTCCCACTTCTGGATCCATGCCTCAGCTGACATTTCATCTGAGGGAAAGAGGGGAGCCATGAATTAAGTATCCCCTCACCTCTATCTTGGCCTTGCTGACTTGATATCATCCTCATCTCTCTCCCTTCATAGACTGTTAGGGTAAGAGGTGGATAAAGTATTAGAATCCAAGCCTGCCTTGAGAACAGCTCACAGCTGGGTTGTGGAGAGTTAGAAGTTGGCAAACACACAGCTGTTTTATAGAGAAGCCAGATGAGAACATTTCTTCATGGAGGTGAATTTGTTCTTCAGGTTTCTTTGTTTAGGGAAGGCTGGATATGAGCTTGCTTCTGCTTTGTCACTGTAACAGTATTCCCTGTCCATGGGCCACGCCATCCTTTACTCATACGGCTTCCAGTAAGGCTTACTTGTTTGTAAGAATAATCAGTTTATGATGCAGCATTTTAATTCAGTCTAGAGCTCCAGTGGTTATGTGTGCCTGGTCATTGCAGAGACAATTAGAAAAGAAATGGAGGTTGGATTTACCTGTCAAAGTAAGCTGTTCATGAGATTCCTAGGCAGTGTCTCCATGACCAGCAAGTGGCCCATGGTTTGCCTGGGAAGGTTTCTTGAACAGTCACGCTTTATACGATTGTTTTGATCATTTATTCATTCACTCAAAAACATTTGTTGCAGTTTCACCAGTGCCAAGCACATTACCAGGTACTGGTGATACGGCAGGGAACAAAATAGTTAAAGCCGTTTGCCACCACAAAATAATTTTAGATAGTGATCAGTGCTATGAAGACAATACAGCAATTTAGTGTAATAGTACAGGGATGGGGTGGCTACTCTAGATTTCCTGGTCCAGGACAGCATCTGAAAAGATGATATTGGAGCTGAGACCTGAATGTTAATGAGTCATTCATTCCAAGATGTGAGGGTAAGAGCTTTGAGGCAGACCAGCAAAGCACAAGCCTTAAGGCACAAACAAGATCAGCTTACTTGGGGAACAGAAAGAAAGCCAGCGTGGCTGGAAGGTGGCATGAATCAGGCTGGAAAGGGAGAGAGGGGCCAAAGCATGTAGGAATCTGTGGGCTATGGACTTTATTCTAGGGGTTATAGGAAGCCATTGAAGGATTTTTAAATGGGGTACTGATATAATCTATTGCACATTTTTGAAATATTATTCTGAATACAGTTTGGATAATAGGCAATAGTGCATTAAGATTAGAAGTAGGAAGACTAGTCAAGAAGCAACTCCAATAGTTCAAGCAGGAGATGGTGGCAGCAGTGGAGAAGATGAATGGACACACATGGGAGAGGTTGTGCAGGGTGAGTCAATAGGACATGCTATTGGACTCAGTGGGATAGGGAGATGGTGCTGCTAAGATTTTGAGCACCATGCTTGGCACATAGAATGCATTCTTATTCATGATAGCTGTCACCGTCTTTATTTTTTAAATGGCCTGTACACTAAAAGAACAAACTTGAGAAGGAATCTTTAGCCCATTGGAATGACAGCATGGTGCCTAGAGTGTACAGGTGACAACAGTGTTAACTCTTCCCGTTTTTTTTTAATAGATAGCAGTTTCAGAGGAAATGGGTGTTGCAGGTATGGTGAAATATTCAGGAGCCAGAAACTGACTTCCAGTCGATCTCACTCTACCATCAACTCACTGTATGACTTTTAGTCTCTCTTAGTCTTGGTTTCTTCATATGATGTTATTAAATAACTATAAAATGTTTTGAGCACTTATTGTGTGATAGGTACTATGTCAAGCTCTTTATATATCTGCCAACCACTTCATATACATTAATCTAATTTAATCCTTCCAGCAGCTCTTCTGGTAGGTACTACATTGTCCACTATTTCCAAGTACGAACACCGACCTCAAAATCACACAGCTAGTAAGTGGCAGAGCTGTGATTCAAACCCAGGTGTTTGTGACTCCTAGGTCCATATTCATAACCCGCTGCCATATGAAAAGTAGCACTAGGTCATTATGGGTTGGTATACTTCCAACTTCCTACAACTTCAGTTGAAGGTCATCATCATGGGACTCCCAAAGCTACTGAGAACTGTTTTCTGTGTGTGTGTGCGCGCGCGCACGTGTGTGTATCTGCCTCGCTCGCTCGCTGTCACACACACACTTGTGCATGCACACATACAGCGTGAATCTCTATTCAGACAGAGATTAGAGATAAGTGTCAAGTATATTTATTTATTGATCCTTTCTCTTTTTCTCTTTGGTAACTTGTGAGATACAGCAGCTGAGGCAACAGGAAATTTGAAGTCCAGCATTTTATTAAATCTTATGTTTAAGATTTCTATGGAAGGAAACTGCTTGAGAGAGATTTGGTTTCCATTATACACATGCCAAAAGAAGATGAGGAAACTGGGTCAGGTGGATTTCCTGAAGGTACAGGAAGCAGGGAAGGCAAGTCCTTGGGCTAATTTCTGCTTCTAACTCTCCACCCCCTGAAATTGCCTGGGCCCTAGTAGAGGGTATAGGAAAGGTTCCTTTCAGACCTCATCACAGGAGATCGCCAGTGATAGAAAATCCAGCAGCACTGGGGGGAGGAAAGGGAAGCTGGGGAAGGCCAATGTAAAGGCAAAGAAAAGGAAAAACTTAACTGGCCCCAGGGCATTTTTCTCTTGAAGTTCAACAGGAAACTGAGTAATGTAGAAGTTATTTTAAAGAGATGGAACAGATAGACCCATACATGCATATATATGCACACACTGTATCCCATGCCAGGTCATCTCCCTGCAGACACTTTGAAATTGCCCCGTTATTGGCAAGGGTGTGGGGAAAATGGGCATTCCTGTGCCGATGTGAGTAATGATTGTAAATCAATATAAGATTTCTGGAGGGTAGTATCAAATGCCTCTAAAACCATATCTCTTGTGTTCTTTGCAGAATATCTGATTTTAGGTCTGGGGAGGAAATAGCTAAGCCTGAAGGCTGTGTAGTGCTAGAAAGTAGGGAAGTGCTCAAAAACAAAAACAAAACAAAAAACCAGAAAACCGTTATTGATGGGGATATGTCAATGGAACATAGGACCCAACTAACAGAGCACTCAAAGGCCAAAGCTGAGCAGTTTGAGCAACAAAATAGTAATATTGGATTATAACCCAAAGAATAAAATAAACATCCATGAGTCCATTCTGATATAAATGATCAAATAAATAAATGAAGGAGAAGAGACAAAGCTCATGTTTGAAAGTATTCCACATAATGTATGTAGATATTTCACCCTCAAGGAGAGGGAACGTAACTCCTCACTCTTTAAGTATAGGTGGCTCGTAGTGACTTCCTTCCAGAGAATACACTGTGGGAATGGGAAAAAAGAGTAGCCATACCATAGAAAAACATGACAAGCACTACCTCAGCCAGGTGGTCAAGGCCACCTTCAACAGTGCTGTCATATTGATAGTATCAACCCTTGATATGATGTAATGATAATGGCACTTTACCTCTGTAATTTTCCTTCCAAAAGCCCATAACCATGGGCTAATTGTGAGAAAAACATCAGACAGCTTCCGATTGAGGGACATTCTGCAAAATACCTGATCAGCACCCCTCAAAACCGTCCTCACCATCACAAACAAGAAAAGTCTGAGAAACTGTCAGAGCCGAGAGGAGCCTATGGAAACTTAATGATGAAATGTGGTATTCTGAGTGAAATCTGGAGCAGGAAAGGGACTTTAGGGAAAAACTAAGGAAATCTCAAAATATGAACTTTAGTATGAAGGTATCAGTATTGGTTCTGTGAACCTCAAATATCTGAGACAGGTCTCAGTCAATTTAAAAAGTTTATTTTGCCAAGGTTAAGGACACACCCATGACACAGCCTCAGAAGGTCCTGATGACATGTCCCCAAGGTGGTCGGGGCACAGCATGGTTTCATACATTTTAGGGAGACATGAGACTTCAATCAATATATGTAAGATATACATTGGTTCGGTCCAGAAAGGCAGGACAACTTGAAGTGGGGAGGCAGCTTCCAGGTCATAAGTAGATAAAGGACAAATGGTTGCATTCTTTTGAGTTTCTGATTAGCTTTCCACTGAATCAAAGGAAGCAATTGGATATGCATTTGTCTCACGTGAGCAGAGGGATGACTTTGTTGTCTGTCCTTTGTGAGGGCAGTATGTAGCTTTTTTATCTTTGTAGCCATCTTATTTAGGAACAGAATGGGGGACAAGTTTGCTGATCGCGGTTCCCAGCTTGACTTTTCCCTTTGGCTTAGTGATTTTGGGGTCCCGAGATTTATTTTCCTTTCATAGTTCATTGGCAACAAATATACCATGCTAATGTATGATGTTCATAGTAGGGGAGACTAAGTATGGGAATCCTCTGTACTATCTTTGCAATTTTTTGGTAAATCTAAAGCTGTTCTAAAAATTAAAGCTTATAAAACAAATGCAAACATGCCTTTGGACCCAGGAGGAAACTCCTGGGAATTTTTCTTTGGAAATAACTAAGGATGATTCATCCACAATGATGTGTGTCACAGAGATGTGGGTAATAGTGAAAAGGTAGAAATAATTTAAATGCCCAATATTAGGTATGATAAATCCATACAAATCAATCATGATCATAATCTTACAGAAATATATTTCTTGATATGACATTCATGATTGATAACTGAGTGGAAAAAGCAGACTGTGAAGGAGACTGTCAAGTATGAGCTGATTTTATAAAAGATAACTTATTTTTATATATGTATAGAAGGTGTATGGGGAAATATATTTCACTGTGATAATGGTGATTATCTGTGGTGGTAACATAATGGAATTTTTTTTCTTTTTTATGGAACCAATACTTGTGTGTTACAGAAAGTAAAAAGCAACAAAAAAGAAAAAGTTACTCTTTGAATTAAAAAAATAAGGCTGTAAATGATTCTATTCTAAATCCAGCAGCAGTAAAGGACTCAGTCCTAAAGAAGGGAATTCTGAGAGCAGATGGGACACTGGCAACCTACAAGCCTGCCTGTTACTTCCGTTCAGTCACCTCCCTATTGCAGGGCACTGCCTGGGCAGGCCTGCTGGCTCCTTTTAATCTTCCATAGAAGTAGGCCATCCCCACACAGGTTCTGCCAAGTGCAAGAAAGGTAGCTACCTATAAAAACAGTAAATAGGCTGCAAGGTACATGGAGATCAATTCAAACTTGGCACTGTGGTCAGAGTGTGGGCCTGAGGTCATGCTGGAGACCCAAGGCTCTCTCAGAGGTCCCTAAATAGGTCTGGAGAGACAGAGTCAGCTGTGAGGGCTGAGACAAACTCAGGTCTGTATTTCTTCTTCTTCTATAGTAATCCTACTCATCTCTGGCATTTTTTCATCTTAAAAAAGCACGTGCTTGTATCTTCCATCTCTTCATGGTAGGTGTTAATATCCCATTTTTTCAGGTGAAAACATTTTGCCTCAGAAAACTTCAGAAAAGACAGGCTCATCTCTTACCCAAGTTCAGTTCATTTCTGGGGGTTCTAGAGTCTGATTGCTTAACCTAGTTCTATTATTTACAAGTCGTGTACCTTAAGCAGGTCTTGCAGCCTCTCTGGGCCTCATTTTTCTCATCTGTAGAATGGAGATAATACCAGAAGCTATCGGTGAGTTTATGTATATAGATGTCTTAGCACAGTTTGTGGAACATTGAGTAAGCCCTCTGTGAATAGTGGCCATTACTGAAAGAGAGAAGGCTCATAGGATAAAATAGAACCAGAACTAGAGAGAGAAGAGCCCTTCTCCTTGTGGTTTAAGAAGGAATTGCAGTGAGGCTAGAGCGAAGTCAAACTTTTTTTAAGACCCATGATGAAATAAAGAATCATGGGACTTTTGCTCATGGCAGAGCTTACTCTTGGGTCTGCACTAGGTAATGATCAGGCAGTACTGTGTCTGGAATTTATTCCTTCCAGTGGGTTCTTGATCTCGCTGACTTTCAAGAATGAAGCCGCGGACCTTCGCGGTGAGTGTTACAGCTCTTAAAGGTGGCGTGTCCAGAGTTTGTTCCTTCAGATGTTCAGATGTGTCCGGAGTTTCTTCCTTCCAGTGGGTTTGTGGTCTTGCTGACTTCAGGAATGAAGCCACGGACCTTCACGGCGAGTGTTACAGCTCTTAAAGGTGGTACAGACCCAAAGAGTGAGCGAGCAGCAAGATTTATTATGAAGAGCGAAAGAACAAAGCTTCCATGCTGTGGAAGGGGACCCGAGTGGGTTGCTGCTGCTGGCTCAGGTGGCCAGCTTTTATTCCCTTATTTGGCCCCACCCACATCCTGCTGATTGTTGTGCTTACAGTCCTTTAGCTAGACACAGAGCACTGATTCGTGCATTTTTACAGAGTGCTGATTGGTGTGTTTACAATCCTTTAGCTAGACACAGAGCACTGATTGGTGCGTTTTTACAGAATGCTGATTGGTGCATTTACAATCCTTTAGCTAGACACAGAAAAGTTCTCCAACTTCCCACTCGACCCAGGAGGTCCAGCTGGCTTCACCTCTCAGTACCGGGCATCAACCCAGTATTTGGGCCCAGCCAGAAAGAGGTGAAAGGACTTGGAACATTTAGGCCATCCTTCAGATTGTGGTGATGGGATAGAGAGGGGCACAGGAAGCAAAGAGAGACAGCTGTATGAATGAGAGCAAATTAATTAGCTCAGCAAGTCTATATGTTGGAGGGAAGCTTTCTTAGTTTTTGTCTGGTTTGGAGTTTTCCTAAACTTTGCTTAAAATGCAAGGCATCCTAATTTCCCAGATAAGGATACTGGGTCCTAGAGTCACACAGCAGAACCAGGACTAGAACTCTGGTATTTTCATCATGTTTTTCTCAGTTAGCCCAAAATAGACCAAGGACATTTTACTTTATTTTGTAAAGTTCAGATCCCTTAAAGCACAGTAACCTCCTTATTTTCAGCTCAGGCTGTTGGGGCAGGTGAGTGTGGGACAGAGGGGACAAAGAAGGCAACTCGCTCTGTCTAGTAAAGAAAGGTCCCTGGATCCGAGTGTTTAGTCTGTCTCCCCAGCAGTGCTGATCGCATATTTACTGCAACTAGGCAACCACTTCCTCAGATACTGAAAGTGTGAGACTTCCCAATTGGCTCCTTGTACAATGCCCAGGCAGTGTAATTTTTGGAGAATATTAAATCTATCTTTTTGAATTTCAGCTGACTCTAGCCTTCGTTCCTTGTCAATACCTCTTAATTCCACCATCCTCCTGAGTTAAATAATCCTTTTACAGCAATAATCAATTAATAGATAACCAAGAACTCAGAAGACATGAGTGATGCCAAGTCACATTAAGTTGTACTATATGCTTAGGAAAAGAAACTATTAAACTTGCAAAGTCAGAATGCCTGCTACCTGATTTATTAACTTCCCCTTTATGCCCCTAAAGCTCTGGGGACAGAAGCCAAAAAGCTAAGCTGCCTATATATGCAGCCTAACTAAAAAATGGTCACAGTGAAACACTGTAAAATGATTATGATAAAATATAATCATTTTATCAGCAGGTGTTTAGGGTCTGAATGTGGAGCTTATGGCATGCCTCTGACATTTCAGTTTCACAGGCACCACATCAGACAGTAAGCCCAACTCAGAGAAGGGATACAGCATTCTGCTTACTGGAATGCCTTAGTCTCATTCTGTCACCCCATCCCCTACCCACAACCAAGAAAGTGTTAAATTTCACACCATCCTCCTGGTCAGAATTTAGGAGCTCCCAGTTCCTTTAGCTAAACTTTTTTGTTTTACATCCCCTAAAAGAAATTTTAAAAGTATGTGCCTTTTTGCCCGTTTTTAAATTAATTCCTGAAATCATAGTATCAAGTGTAAATCGTTGCTAAGGGTGTGCTCACTGACATATTGTGTAGTTTATATGAGTTTTTATATATATTTTTGTCAAAACTTTGGCACTGTGAATTTAGCTTATTAAATTTACAAGCAAAGGTGCACTATATAATCTAATTGGCAAAGCCAATTTTGGTGGTCAAACCATCCAGCCAAATCAGACTTGCTTTCTGTCAGATTAAGTCTGATTTCATTTTTTTCAATACAAATAAACATTAGCACACACCTCATGATAACCACCTCACTTTTGAATTTGAAGTGTTAGATCGATGGATAGATAGATAAAACACACAGCCTTGCCAAGAGTTTCCTGCCTGAATGAAAAAAGAGATTGTCTCCTTTACTATTGCTTGCGGTTCTCTCATAGGACTCCTCTAAGGGAGACATTCTAAAATTGTTACATGCTAAGATTCAGAAGGGTGAGTGAGAGTAGCATTTCTGCGGAAGTGTGGGAGTATGGTGATCTGTAAAGTGGGAGTGGCTGAAACAAGAACCTTACAGAGCACAGGCATGTTTCTGAGAAGGTAAGTTTTAGGAAGCAGTATATATGGAAGTTAAGGATTTGGACATTAATTTTCTTAAAACTACCCAGGCCCAAATACTTCCTGGAAAGTAATTACATACCACAAGGGTATCCATACCCCAGTTTTAAGGCCACCACTTTTAGATACAGCAGTACCCTCAAACTAGATCAGTGACCGAGCTAAGGCCGGTTAACTAAACTTCACTCCGTATTTGTTCTCCCCAGTGTTTGGCAGGCATGACTTTTCTTGAGACCTGCCACCTAGAAGGGTCAGAGTGATACTCAGCCTTTCTAGTTAGTACCTGTATTTCATTAGGTCTGGGTTGTCATTTAAAAAACTCTCCAAGTGAGCAAAGCAGGATACTGTTGCTCTCCAGATATTTGAAGGGTATTTGGGGATAGGAACACACTTGTTCTGGAATGTAATGTTTCAGCTGCCAGAGCTAGGAACATTTGAGGGAAAGGCAGGAGGAGGCAGGTTTTTATTCAGGATAAGAAGGAAGGTGGGTTGAGGAAGAAGGGTAACATTTTTTATCATTTGTATTGCATAAAATACATAAAGCTTTCACAGTAACCCTGGAAGATAGCATTTCGATGAGGAAACTGAGATTCAGAGATGTTAGTGACTTACGTAAGATCCCACAGTTTATTAGTTAATAACAGGCATTTGAACCTAGTTCAGTCTGGTGACACAAAAGTAATTATGTAATGCTGCCTCTCTCATTGGTAAGTACCTGCTATAGAACGTGCTGTCTGCCTAACACCCTTAGTTTATTTAAAAAAAAAAAAAAAAATGAAACAGCCATTAACCTCTGAGTCCCACTCCAGTTGTAAGTCTAAGTGTGACTGGCAGGTGTTTCAGAGGAGCATGATAAGTGGCTGAGGTAGAAGGCTGTATTACTTCCCTTGCAGAAAGTGAAGACTTTTATAGACTAAGATAAAAATCTCATGAACAGTCAGGCATGGTGGCTCATGCCTGTAATCCAGCACTTTGGGAGACTGGGGCAGGCGGAATCACAAGGTCAGGAGTTCAAGGCCAACGTGGTGAAACTCCAGCTCTACTAAAAATACAAAAATTAGCTGGGCATGGTGGCATGCACCTGTAATCCCAGCTACTCAGGAGGCTGAGGCAGGAGAATCGCTTGAACCCGGGAGGCGGAGATTACAGTGAGCGAAGATCGCACTGATGCACTCCAGCCTGGGTGATAGAGCAAGACTCCATCTCAAATATAAATAAATAAAATGAGATAACCTCATGAACATAGATGAGCTTATATACAAAGTTTATATACAAAGTGAAGCAAGAACATTCAGGAGAGGAGATGATGCCTCACACTAATTATATTGTTGAACCCTCCAGGAGAGACGACATACAAGCTGAGCAAAGCTCTGTGTTATAGATTCAGTTATGATCCCTTTTCTTTTTCATTATTGTGAGAAGTGGGTTATTATAAAAATAAGATGCTTTCTTTGAAGGTACTGTTCTGGGAAGAAAAAAAAAAAAAAAAGGTTCTTCCTCCCTCCCCTGAGCCTGTATCTCACCTACTAGGCTTTAAAGTCCTAGAGGGCAACTCCCGTGTTCATCTTATTCATTTTTGTTTCTAGCATCATGACTTACACATGGTTGACAGTCAACAAATATTTAGCAAATGAAGTAATCAATAAATGATATGCCAGTATCCTAAGATCTCATGTTTTAAACTGTGAGATAAATTTCAGGCCCAAGAACACGTCTCTTTTAGGTTAACGAGAAAAGATTTTATCAGTTCAGACTTCAGACCTTTTCCCCAAGCCACTCTCCAAATATTATAGTAAAGAACCTGGCAACCAAAAAGAGTTTATTTATAATTTGGTTATTCCCAATTTGGCAAGAGAGTTGTTGACTTCTTTGAAAATATGATGAAAAGTATGTCTTCTCTCAGACAAAGGAACACACAGATAAAATTCTGTATACAATTTCATTAGGTCCATGAACGTTTAAACTATGTCTCACGTTAAGAATGCTAAAAAGTGAACTGCAGCTTAGGGCAGAGTCACCATGCTGCCCTCATATTTGAAATAAAACTGACAAGAGAACAATGAGAGCTTGCTTTGGATGTAATACCAAAGGGGGAGAATATGACGCCAGTTCCAGCTCTGCCTTGATTCTGGTGAGAAGCTTTCATAAAAGACCCTGTGTTCCCTTTGGGACAGATGCCATTAAATACTGCTTCTTAATGACAGCCCACTGTCCAGCATTTCCAGCATGCACCCTTCATCCCATGATTGTATAACCAGCAGGAAAGGGGAGTGGAAACAGGGCAGAGTTTGGAATGGTGAAGATTATTGAGTTGGTTCTTTTGGCTCCTAGCATACACTTAACTTGCAGGACCTGTTTCTTGAAATGTTTCTGCCCTTAGTGGAAGTTCTAGAAATTTGCTGCCTAGGATATTTTCCCTTAAAGTCTTTCCCAGATGGATGCAAAAGAGCACAGGTTTTATATAGACATAGATAATCCCTTGTGAGATGAAAAATTTCTAGGTAATAGCTGGGAGCTGATGTTCTACAGGCCTTTTCCTTTTCTACCAGCTTGACCACTTCAGACTTTATCCAACTGAAACTAAACCTTGAGTTTTAAGGACACAGACCTTACTATGTGACCCTAGGATTTTACATCTCTTAGAGCTTCACTTTTTTCATCTGGAAAACGGGGGATAATAATAGCCCCTACATAATAGGAAGAATGGGTGAGTAACACGTAATTCAGTGCCCCGGTCCACAGTAAGCACTTGCTCAAGCTGGCTCTTGTTACTATTTTAAGGGCAGTGACCTATAGAAGAGGATGGGGAGAAACTAGGCAAGTTTGCTACGTTTGCTTTTCTGAGTGTGCTCATTCCTGCATTTTCAGGCTCTACCTTCTCCTTGCCCCAGTCCCTGTACCAACAGTGTTCTCTCCCAGGTCCAAGCCAGAGGGGCTGTAACTCTGAGCAGCTGAGGTACTAGCCATGCCTGAGGGACTTGACAACTATTTGACCACTGAAACATCACTAACATCTGGAATAACCTGGCCAGGGCAGTAATGACTGACCAGTCCCTTCAACTGTGTCCATCCCTCCCTCCCTTTCTTCCTGTTGTTTGTATTTCACTTCCTTTTAAAAACCAATTATTTATTGAGCACCTCTATGTGCCCAGCCCAGTGCTAGTGCTAGATATACATAGTTAATAAAGTGTTGCTATTCTTATATGCTGTAGTCATGGGTAGAGAGAAGAGTAAATCGTAAACAAATAAATTATGTAATGTGATAAGGCCTATGACAGACATAAGATAGAGAATCACCAGGGAGTCCTACTTAGTAGAGTACCTTCTCTGACGAGGTGGCATATGTCCCTATGGCATGAGTTGAAATCTTGGATTTTTTTTCCAAGTGCAGAGTGCCATTGAGAGTGCAGATGGTAGTAGCTTCTCCTTGTTTTTTCTCTCCTAACAGTAGATGGCTTAAGGCTTAGAGGAAATCATACACCTGATTTTTACCAGCAATTTATTTTGTCAGTTAAGTTTAAAAGAATTATGACTCTCACCTGCTCCTTTAAATAGCTGCTCACGTACTGTATACCAGGTACTGTGCATTTTATATGTATTCTCTTATTTAATCCTCTAGTAACTCAAGAAAGTAAGTTTTATCATCATTCCCCCTATGGCCAGATAAAGAAATCAGAATTTAGAGAAACGAAGTAACTTGCCTTTGGCCATATTGCTCAATCATGGTAGTTAAGACTTAATTCCAGGTATGTCTGACATAAAGTCTGTGCTATCAACCAGTAGACTAGGCTGCCTCCCTTCTTGTGATATCTTAACTCACCTGGTTCTCCTTTTCCTTTGTAGTGGTGCCAGTGAAGAAGAGGACACATGAAGGCTTGCTACCCCCAGTGGAAAATCATCCCCTCCCCTTGTGTGTATGTGACAGCGTGTATGTAACGGCTTCTGATTTCTGTGAAAGCTGCTCAGCAACAAACGTACTTCCACCAGATGTGTCCCCAGATCCACAGCAGGCACATATCTCTCCAAGGGATGACCAGTTTTATGCTTACTGTGTGCTTCTCATCCCCTGGTTGTGGTAGGTCAAGGAAAAGAGCCCCTTTGATCCACCAGGAGCAATTAAGAAAGGTCCTTCAGGTAATCCCTCAATGGCTGCTTTGAACTTACTCAGGAAAGCCAGCCCCCATAATATTGTATTACCAAACAGTATCGCTTTGTTAGGAAGGATCTGGAATAATCTTGAAGGGAAGTCAGAGTTTTCTCCCTGCCTATTAACAAAAACCCAATTTTGTTCATATTGAAGCATGAAATAAATGAGAGCAAGGTAGGGCCAAATTAACTCTTGTGGACAGTCCCTAAAAGTCCAGTTCTACATTTGTGAAAATTGTGGTGCCATGAATTAAGATGGATGACTGGAAAAAGGTGTTGGAGAAAGAGTTAAAGATGAGGAAGAGATATTTTTAGTATATGAAGTTATCCAGGACTTGATATTCATAATTCAGTGCTGTGGAAATGAAAAAAATGATTGAAGAGGTGGAACGGAAATGACCTTAGGGGGAAAAAAAAGGACCAAAGAAGTCTGATTAAAAGTTGAAATCAGTATTTCTGAATTCAAATTGCTTGAATTTCCAAAATAGTCAGTAAAGGATCTAATAGAACCAGAATTATTTGGGTGAATTCTGCAGGTTTTATGGGCTTGTCACAACGTGAAGGGCTGGAATGTATATTACCAAATGGGAATTTCCATTGTAGGTTTTTGCTAGTCCCACCCCCATTTTAGCCTAATTTGGCTTAAACGCAGTATGGGGAGAATTGTTCCCATTCCATGTGTTCTGAATTCAGCTCATCTCCCAGCATATAGATATATCCTCCTTTAACTCCGACCAGAACCCTTCTTCCTGTGGCACTCCCCACCCATAGACCTTCAGATCATCTCCCACACCCTGGATCTCACTCTCCTCTTAGTAACAGAGACACTCCTGAGGTTGGACTTCCTTGCTTTTCTCTACTTCCAAATCACAATTTCTTACAACCAAGCTTTGTGCTCCCGAGTAAGCAGGGATGTACTAGGGGAATGTAAAACTGCAAACTTAAAAACCTGCATCTTCTTGAAGCATCAGTTTTACTTACCAAATGGTTTAGAGTCATAAGATGACCTATTTTTATATAAAAGTTATATTATAGAATAAAATGTTCATACGCATAGACTGTTAAGATAAAAAAATAGGAATCTTGCAAGGTAATTCTTATTTGCAAGTGGGTTATGTGTTCACTCTCCTCTACCTTTATGGTATTTTGGTGTTCACTTACGAAGCATACAACTAGAACCATATCCAAGCAGACTCTGGGTTGCTGTTAACCCAGGGCCTAGACTTCTAGTGCCTCTGAGGCAGAACCAAAGGAGCCTGCACTGGGGGAAATCCCTTTTCCTGCCTGCCTGTCTGCCTGTGACCTGTGTACGTATTACAGGCTTTAGGACCAGCTGATTGTTATGCTTGCAGGATGGTTTTGAAACAGAAACAATACTTGTTTACTGTAGGAATCCTATTTATATTATTTTTCAGTCCTGTGAATGCTGTGAAAAGATTTATTCCTTTGAGGCCAGGAAGCTCCCAGGCATATATGCTTCTAGGTTAGGATTGTCCTGACTCACTAAAGATGCCAGGATATTGGGGCTGAGGGGAGTTTGAGGTGTTAAAAAAAAAAAAAAAAAAGCATTTTTCTCTCAAACTGATGGCCAAGAAATGGCTAGGACAATTTTGGTGCTTTACCTATCTCTGCAAAGACTGGAGAATTTGGCATACCATTAATTACAACCACCAATCATATCCAACAAAAGTACCCTAAAAGAAGGACCAGTGGCCACTCTCGAAAAAATTTAAGTATCAGAAGATTAAAAAGATTTTAGGATTTGGAAGCTTGTATTGTCTTTCCCCAATAATCATTGTTTGATCTCCAAATAGTAGCCTTATATTAGCAATAGACAGATCATTGGTTCTCCATATCTGATCATATGTTACTACTTTGAATCAGTATTTGGGAAATTCAAGCATTTATGCAGTGGATATAAATGGAAATATAAAAATATTTGCCAACCTGTCTCAGTAACTTATCATATCTCTGTGATCCTCAAGGAAAGCACTTTTGCTTTTACTTAGAAAGCGTTTCAGATTTGCTTTATAGACTCCTGCTGTCTTCAGTACCTGATAAAACTTTAACCAGGGAAGCATTAAACACAGTGCAGCAGCTTTTGCCCAGGCTTCTAAGTTCCTGCCGGCAGCATTTATCAATGTAAGAACTAGGATGCTTCCTGCAGTGGCACTACCTTCCCCTAGAGCTGGAGCATGCTGCTTGGCCTTAAGCCCCAGCATGATGAGGCTTCCCTCCTGCCAGGTCAGTAAAAGTTAGAGAGCTCAGAATTGGGTCTTGCCTGGGTGCAGGTGGCAGGGTTTGCTGAAACCCCTAAAGAGAAGTCACCAAGGGAGGCAGGTAATGAATGTTTCCAGAATCAGTCGGATACTCATAGCAATTTCTGGCTATCTTTCAAATGTTGAATTTCTGGATGCTGAGAGGGACTTTGATTTGATATCATTAAATCCAGGACAGTCCCAAGAAGTGCTTGGAGTCTCGGCTCTGACAGCCCAAGAAGGGAAATAACTTGTATTAAGGAACAACTATGAGCCAGGCCCTGAGCTGTCTCTTAGATAATAAAACAGATGGGGAGTGGAAGAGTCATTTGCTTCAAGTTATACAGCTAGGAAATACTCAAGCCAAATCTTGAACGCAGCTCCCCCTAATTCTGTGGACAGGCACTTTGTACCACACACCATGGTCCACCTAAAAACAGAAGGATAAAAAGACTTCAGGTTTTCCCACTGTGTGCTGACCATCCCAATTTATGAATCTTCTTCAAAATGACATTTCACAGTTATAGTTAGGGCTCAGAAATGGCATTGAGGTAGCCTTATTTCTCCCCTTTAGCAGATGCTTTAAGTACACATTGCTGACTTGAGCCCACCCCCAGGAGTTAGGAGAACATTTCCTTTTTCATGCCATCTTCCATAAATAAGGTGTTTCTTGGCCTTCAAAGATATAGAACTTTGCAGCAGTAGTAAAAGTGAAGGGTGTTCTGCTCTCTACTCAACTTTATTTGAAAATGTCTGCAGCTTCACTCCTGTAGAAAAGGAAATCTTCATATTTTAGTAAACTTAGCCGCCAGTGTACTCTGTGAGGATGTGGCAATTCAAAGTCCAGTGAATCTGGACTCTCTTACTGATTCCTGGTTTTAGTGTGTGTGTCGGGGGAGTGTGTACCTATATATAAAGGACAAGTGTGATATGTGTGTATATGTATATACATACATACATGTCCGCACACACACACACAATATTTGAGAGCTAAGGAAAACTCAAAGCAGCCCCTTCATTATCTTGCGTACTACTTCAAAGATTTCTGTCAGCCCTAATTACAAGTGTCACCATATAGTTGGGGCTTAGGTACTTGCTTACAGGAAGAGCAATTCCCTAGCAAAGGTCATTAGCTCCTAAGGCACTGAGTCAAAGTGACAGCCCTGAAGGAAATTGCACTCCAGCCCTCCTCCAGGATGTCTAATAAGATGGGAAACTTGGATGCCCAGCCATTTTGGTGACCTGAGAGTCTAACTACTCCAGTTAGACCTAAGGGCACAAATGCAGAATTCATGACCTTGTAGTTGTGGCAGGGTCTAGGAAGTCCTCTCTCCCCAAGTAGAAAATATTCTCTTGCCATTCCTGAAATTCCACATTCATATAATGGCTGTGCAATACATGCTTCTCAATAAGAAAATTAACTGCACGTTTACTGTGTGCTGATCACATCAGATTTTTATGTTTAAAAAAATCTCATTATGGATTGAGTCCAGCCCAGCTCTAAGAGAAAAAGAAGGCCCATATGGGAGACTTCAGTCTCATTATTATTGCCTTTATCCAGCAGTGCTTATGAAGCCCCCTACCCTGTCCCATTCCAGAAACCATAAGACTCAGGCAGTTCTTGATTCTGGAGGCCTGCCTGGTAAGATAAGATAGTATAATTTGGAACTGAGAACATACCAGAAACAGCAGAACGAGGGCCAGAGCAGAAAAATGAAAATAAGTGGAGACACTTATGGATACATTGGTGCAAAAAAAGCCACGGAGCCCATACTGGGCTTGATATGACTTTGAGGGGACAGCAGATTAATACTTAATGAGGGTTAAACCTGACCAGTCTTTCTACAGTGACAGGCCACACTGCATGAATGGGGAGAACCAATGAATCCATTGTCCTCTGCCTATTTTCCTGTGCACAGTCACATTCCCTCCTTAGGAATCTTCCCCTTCCACCCTTTACATTAAACAAGGGAACACTGAATCTTTCAAGGGAATTACACGTTTGGGTTAATGTTTCAGTATATCATTTTCATACTGTAAATTATTTTGTAAGAGAGATTTACTGCTATCCCAGGATGTTCGGACTTGGTGCCCCTGTGCATTTGGAAATCAATAAACTATTACTGGAAATGCCATTTGTCTCTCAGAGTTGTGCACAAAGGACCCTGCAAGGTGTAAATATTTATGACGAGCTGCATACTTGACTGTGGTAATGCTGGAGATGATGGTGTTTTGGTTACTAGATGTGGGAGTCTAATTTACTCCTGACTTTTCCACAGTGCCTTAGGAGAGAGCTCTGGGAAGTGGCAAAAGAACAGACTTAAGATCATTATTATTTAGTGATAAGTTTTCTCCTCAAAGTAAAATGATCCAGGCCTAGATTACATTTTATGAGCAACTTAGATTATAACCTAAAGAATACTTGGTGCCAAATTATGTTTTCAAATAACATTAAAGTTTTAGAATTTGGATGAACTAGAAGGAAGGTAAAATTGTAATTTTTGCCATATTTTCTAGAAAAAAAAATGTCTTTTAGAGCAAATTACAGTTAGGCCAACAAAATCTTTGTTTTGTGAAACTTTAGAAATACATATTTGCATGTAATTGATGAAAACATAGAATGAGTTGTAAATGAAGCAATTCCAAGCTGGTTTGAAGGACCAGAGGTTGCATTGAAATCAGAAGTCATATACTCAGAGGCCTTCAGGAGCCAAATGTGAAGACTCAAGATGGTAGATACTGTGTGAATTAGAAAATACCAAGCCCTGCCTAAATGCATTAAAATTTAATGTTTAAAAATCCTAAAACCCACCAGCAGGTGTATCTGGAGGGACAGTTTGTGGACTCTCCTCTAAATTTTCTTTTAACACATTTATCTTCATCAGACCCTTTTAGTTAGCTAGGGACTGTGTGAGAACCTTGAGAAAATTGTCCAAGAGAGGGAGATAAGTCACTCAAGGTCACCCAACAAGCCAGGCTGGTAAAGCCCAGGACAGCAGACTCTCTGTCTCCGAGAGCAATCATTAGGCCCTACTTCCTCTTCCCCAGTTGCGGAGGACACTGCTGCCTGGTGGGGTGGCACTGCCTGCCACTGTAGCACTTAGGAGTCTTCAGTGTTTTAACAAACCACAATGTGTTTGGAGGTTTTCTTCCCTGCTTCCTGGTGCCAGTATCTCAACACCACATCCATTGCCCCAGCCCTTTCTTGTTTTATCTTTCCCTCTGAAAGCTACAACTCTATATTTTATTTTATTACTCTTTGTTTGGTCCAACATGGCCCCATTTCCTTTATACTCATAAAAAGGTAGAATTTCAGCTTGTCTGGAATATCTCCTGGCCTTCACAAGGCACCAGAGTTAGAGACACCCAACAGAAAGTCGTAATAAGAGAAGATGTCACAGAAATAGAAACAAAAGCAAAAGACTGCTTGAAGTCAGTAACAGACTGCACTAAGTGTCTGTGCTTGTTAACTATTGTAATCTCCAGGTTTAAATCATTCATTTATGTTAATAAGAGCTGTCACTTAGCTCTTTCTCTGGGCCAGGTACTCTCCTGTTGTTTTTCACATTATCATAATAGTAACAGCACCAATACTATCATTCCCCACTTTGTTGCTCAGGAATCAAATTTAGAGAATTAAGTACTGTGACCACGGTTACACCCTAATAAGCGGGAAGCCAGAATTTAAACCCAGGTCTAGCAGACTTCACAGCCTCTTTCCTTAATCTCTTCTCTCCTAGCTGCACTGATTCCATCTTGTATTGGTGAATAACAACACTGATCCCCCTACAACTACCCCCACACATGTACAGTATGGCCTTGGGGCAAAGGAGTTTGCCTTTTGCAAAGAAGGTCTTGCTTTGTATAGCCTGTAAAATGCAATGTACAGTGAGGGAAAGAAAGTCTAAGGGTAGCAGTCAAATCTTCTGGCCTGAAACTGTACTTTTGGAAGGGAGAACTGTTAGACTTGCTTTATCTTCTTTATTCCAAGGCCATAAATAAGAAAATCAACGAGAGGCAAAACCATGTCTTCTTTTGCTATAGCGTTAGAATCCTGAAAGTCAGCCAGCTCTGACACTGAGTCTGTGATTTAATTAAACATGTTGAAGGCTCTCCAACAGCTTGACGTCAGGCCAGCTTCATATTCTTGGAAAGGGACAACAGCAAAAGGAGCTTATCTGTTTTAAAGTTCACTTACTGAGTTCAGCTGTCACGGCCACAGCATACCATTTGCCTTATAAAAATGGCCCACAACCTTCACAATATTTTAGGATTCATGGCAACTCATTTACCTAGGGCTTAGCCACCTGATAGCTTTACCTATCCCTATTTCCTGAACACAAAATCTAAACCAGTGGTTTGACAATGAGTAACTGAGACAGAACTAGAAAAATCTAGAACCTCTGCTGAACCCATCAAAAGTGACTGAGAATTAAGAAGTAAGCAAACAAGGCTTCCAACCAATTGAAATAAATACCATGAAGCAAACGCATAAGACAAAGGCCATACATCTAGTCATCAGGCACCTCCTCAGAACCTATTTGCTCTTCCTTCACACATATTTCTAACTGTAAAGGAAAGAAACAGACTTTTAGAGGAAACAAGAAGGAAAAAGGAGGACAGCAATAGAGAAAATGGAAATTTTGAGTAGACTGCAAAGCTCCAAAGCCCTGATATATGGGTTATTTAGTGTCAAAAACAGTCTATACACATCTCAATCTTTAAGAGCCTCACTGTATCATGGGACAATATTCTATTTAAAATGATGACCCTGTGCACCATACATAAAAAAACTATGCTTAGAAGACAAAAATATGTATATCAAACATTTTAGAAATATTTACATCCCAATGGTTAAAAAAAAAAACTTTTAGGAATTAAAAGGAATAAACCTTTGACCATCCAGAATATTTAGCTAAATCAAACAGTGTATATCCCCCTAGCTGACTTTTATTGTTTCATGAGCCTCTGGTGTTCAGAGAGTTTTTTTCACAGCTTTGTAAGTGACTTTCATGCTACAGTGCTTTGCATATAATGGCATGAACAGTGGAGGTGCCAACTTTCCAATGTGATGAATAAAACTAATAACTAGAATACAGATCAAATTCTGTTACAACAAATACTGCTACCATAAAAGTCACTTAAGCATCCCTGTTAGTTCTAAGCCCCTGTCGATTGCCCATTTATTTTAGGCAATAGTCATTCAACAAAATTGGAGCATAATAAAAAGAAACTGGACCTCAGCGCAAGTTGAGTGTTACACAATTTAACCTGTAATAACAGGTTCTCACTTGTATTTCTCCAGCTCTTTGCTGTAAGAAGAATAAACGTTATGTAGATATAATACCAGCGTGACAGCTTGTGGTTGGTGGTTTCTAGAAGAAATAATTCAGAAGCAAAAGACACATGAAGTTATGTGGCAGTTCCTCACTAGGGAATTTGGTCTCCAGGGCCACTTTTGACCTTAATCCATGTTGGAGCCATCAATCAAAGAATTGCTTGCATCTAATAATGGTGTAATGCCAATACTAAGCCCTGGAACGAAGATAGGATTCATTTCTCATGGATTATTGAGCACTCTGGGGTAACCTGGCCCTGATCTGATGACGCTAAGATTTAAAAACCCAGATGCATGTGACTAGAACTATCTTTTCTCCCATGATGCACTGCTTTCAACACTGCATGACTGTAAAAACATGTGCCACGCTGATTATATATAGAGATGGTCTAAATCAGCTGCATCCCATTTGGTACCCAGGCAAGGATTTTTCCATACCTATCTTTTTGCTGGTGGTAATGATGAGTTTTGTCACTTGCTATAACATTCTCTGTCCGTCTTTTTTCTTTTATGTAAATACTTTTGTGACTTCATTGTAACCAGCATTTTGTAATACTCTTAACAGCAGAGGGGATTAAATCATGATTCACTTCTGAACAGTACAATCAGCAGTAGGAAAACGAGGAGGGAGGGAGAGGGAAATTGTCCACCACTTCCCAATGATAATGCCTGGCTCGGACCCCAGATTCACATCATACTTGAAGTTCATAAATTCTGGGCACTGCTCAGCTTGAGGAGGCAGGCATTGCTCCTTCATATTTCAGGGTGAGACAAATGCTCTGTTGAAGCCATGCCACTACAGGATACATTCACCTCTGCTTGCTTTCCTCCCTAAGCCAGAGTGTAGTTAAACATTTATATGTCCCAGGCCAGGAGATCAAATTAAGAGGAGGTTAGCTACTTTCCCTGGCTCTTAAAAACATTTGAGTCCAAGTATGGTTCTCTGGCTTGAGGGTGGCCATTTGTTGCCTCACTGTTTTTATTAGGACATCTGGAGATTAGAGGTGTTAATTGGAAGTAACTTTTCTATATTTGGTTTCTCTCCACACATTATGAGACCTTTTAGACCCAGTTGGATGGCTGTATCCTAGTATGAAATTCAGCTTCTAAGTAGGAAGAACTATGATAGAGGAACAAGATTGCTCTTTGACTTGGTGATAGTAGGGCAATAGGGAGTGTCAGTAGGGTAGTTTCAGGTGGGGAGGATGACAAACCACTGATAACAATAAAAATGGGTATTTCTCAACACTCAAGCCAATTTCCCATTTGATAACAAGTAGGTTCTGATCTATTTTCCCCAAATTAATATTTTCCCTGGAAGATTCTGACCTGTCTGATCAAATAAAGGCATTCCTCTGAGAGTATACCTAGCCCACTTGTGGCCAAATTATACTTGACTGTTATGTACTCAAAACAAGCTTTCCTGTTAATCTCTTTCTCTTACCTCTATTATGAGGACAAGACGTGGAAGAATTAGGTCACCGGGGCATCTGCCATTGCATATGTTTAAGTGGTATAAAGAAGCCAGGATTCCTAGAATGGTCTGTCTTTTGCCATTTCTGGGACAATGAGAAAATCCATCTGGAGTGTTTATGCCCCTCTGAATAGCCAAGTCATGGGCTTGTTTGCTTTCAGTCACTGCCTTCAGAAAAAGACAATTTTACAATGACTTACTTCTAATAATCACTGAAACAGCCTCATGAGGACATGCAAAACTGCTGTCTATCTTCAGACCTGGCCCATTGTCAAATGGCAGACTTGCAGAGCAAATAAGGGACCTGGCCTAGTTCACAAGGCAGTCAGAAGTGATCCAAAGTTCAGGCTCCCCCTCCCTTTTATCACTCCACCCTGCCTCTACTCCTCCGCCTCCTATTCTTCCGGCCTTTCCATCTGGAAACCATGAGCCTCATGGATTCCAGGCACAAATTCTCAGATTTCAGATGTTTGGGAAATTTCTCAGCTTGGGTCATTCTTCAAGAGTAAGAAATTGAATTTGTGAGAAAAAAAAACAGCTGAGACTGTTTCACAGAAGAGAAAATAAATAAGGTGTGGTGCGTATCCATCCTCTTCCCAACTCAGCTCCAAAACCACACACAATGTCTAACTTCAAAAAGAGTATTTAGATCCCCCCTGGGAAGGAACAGAATGGAAAAACAATCTCCACTCATAAAAACACTTTTCTGCCTTCTACAGTATAAACACAACTGGCATCAGATAATACAATGTAATTGATTTTATGTGTGTAATTGGGGAACAGAAGGGTCTCTAGAGGGTAGACCTAAGAGTAATGGAATGGAGTGAAAAGTAAAATTTAGACTAAATTGTTGGGAGGAAACTGTTAACATTGTGAACCACTTGACCCTAGTGTTGCATCTTCACAAAAAAGAGCAATGTGCCGTCTTCTGTCTTTGGAAAATGGGACAAGCTTGCTCCTGATACTAGGTTTTAGAAGCATACAGACTTGGTTTTAGTACTGGCTTTGTTCTTTACTAACTCTGAACAATTAAATGAGCAGATGGTCTACAGGGCTTAGTACAGTGCCTGACACATAGTAAGCACTTAGAAATGGTAGCTTCTGACTGTTGTGCTGGAGTCCTGTTAGAGATTCAGTAGATGGAGCCACCTTCATGTTGCCCCTCACTGAGCTGCTCTGCTCACCTCTAGATGCTCCCCATGGCTGTTTCATAGCCCTCTGTACCACATCCCCATGTACTTTTTCATATCAACGGTAAGTACCTCAAATTACCGTATGTATTTACTTGTTCATAAGGTTGATGTCTGTAACTCTTTGAAGGTTGTATTAGTCGTTTGCTCCTATATTACTAATGATGACAAAGTCGCCTGACAGAGTAGATGTTCAAATTTATGGACTTAAACTGACTGACATCTTGATAATGCCCATATCCAGAGGTACTCCAGATATTATATCTTCATGCAGAAAACTGAAAGATACCTTTAGCTACATCTACCCCAGAATGAGTGTCCAAAGCAGGTGGCACCACCAAAAGGCACCTTCTTTTCCCATGAAAAGAGGGAAGAGAGTTGAGAAGCCTCACTCCCATCCCTGCTCTGCCACTGACAAGTTGTGTGGCATTTGGCACATCATGTTCTCTCTCTACATGCGCCTAAAATGACGGGTAGGGTCAGAGACATTGGAGGATCTCTCTTTTCTCTTCCACCTCTAACACGGTAAGATCTTAGCAAAGTAAAAAGGACAGTGATAACAGAAAAATTGTTCCTCTAAGAGTCCCAAGTCATCTTTTTTCTCTCCGTGTGTGTTAGCATTTGTGTGTGTCTGTGGGTGTGTATGCATGTGTGT